>NC_000002.12:82917625-83223008 GCF_000001405.40 Homo sapiens | reverse complement strand
TGCTAAGCTGCTTGTGTTGCACTACACTCAAGTCCTGCCAAGTTGCAATGTCTTCTGAGACAGTGCAGACAGAACCTAACTGGAACTTACACTATACTCTTTGTAGTTTAAAGATTTGCATTAAAGACAATAATCAATAGAACATTCTTACTGATTATGCAAGACCTAGCAAGTGAACAATGAGTAAATTAAATAATACATTATATTAGAACACATTCTTCAAGGCTTTAATTTTCTTTTTCAGACAGAGTTTTGCTCTTGTTGCCCAGGCTGGAGTGCAATGGCGTGATCTCGGCTCACTGCAACCTCCGCGTCCCAGGTTCAAGTGATTCTCCTGCCTGAGCCTCCTGAGTAGCTGGGATCACAGGCATGCACCACCGTGCTTGTCTAATTTTGTCTTTTTAGTAGAGACAGGGTTTCTCCATGTTGGTCAGGCTGGTCTCGAACTCCCGACCTCAGGTGATCTGCCAGCTGCGGCCTCCCAAAGTGTTGGGATTACAGGCATGAGCCACCACGCCCCGCCGCTTCAAGAATTTTATGCCCCTGCCTGCTTATAATGTAAAAAAGATTTAAATGTGACATCAACCCGTCTAAATACAATGTAATGTAATATCCATGGCTCTTTCCAATGTATTATTTTATTTGGGTTTTTGGGGCTAAGGAAATTCTGTGAAGTAAACCACAACAAAAAAAGAACAGAAAATGTCATATCTTCAATTTAGAGATGTAAGTATTTGGGTTTAAGATTAAATTATCACAGGTCAAGTTCCTATGGGGCTGAATTTAAATGACTTTTCCAGTGATATTTCTGTCTCACTGCTCTGTCTGCTAGATCTAGAGATGCGTACCTCCCATCAAGTACTTATGTGCACATTTGAAACAACTGTAAAAATTCTAGGCAGTCTTACAGTCCCAACTTAGCAATGTTTAAATGTATCTTGCCTACAAATTGTGTTTTGTGTGTTTATTTTCACTTGCTAATTATGCTTTACATTCCACCATTAAAACTTAATTTTATTAATTTAATCTAGATAAGTATTTTGTCTGCCTTACAATAGGTTCTTCAGAACATGAGGCTTTAAATGTGTTCAAGCTGAGATGGGACATATTCATATTCATACCATATTCAAAAGAGTTTTGAAGAGAAAGAATGTAGTAGAGAATAATTAACTACTACCCACCAGAATGTACTAGAGTTACTATTCTTTTTTTTTGCCAGTATTTGTCCACAGGGCAGACTTGGTGCACTAATAAAAAACTAAAAAGCCATTTCATAAATTTAGTTAGGATTAGTTCATTCTGGGGACATGCAAGTAGCCCTATCTTTATAACACATTCACTAGGCAGTTGTAATTGCAACCTAAGCTATCATATGAATGCAAGAGGATGAGTGATTTCCTCCCAATAGCTCGTGAATTTCTGTCTTTTTTCCTGAATTCCCCTCTTTATGACTACTTTAAATAAAAACTGAATTCATTTACAGTGTTTAGTGAGAGCACGGGCATATCTATATGACTAACTGGATTGATTCTTCATAGTTCAGTGAGTGAGCAATCGAACAGATCATTGCGCAATCAATGCAATCCCACAAGCAATTTGACCATACTTCAAAAAAGCCAGGCTTCTCATATCAGTGGTGTTAAGCACATCATGAGAGTTCTGGGATGCCTGTATAAATGTTCTAACAAATCAATAGCATTTTGATTTGCTTATTCTAGTGACAGAAGCATAAAGGAAGGAGAACTAAGAGAAGACTGAAGAGGTCATTTTGAAGTCCAATACTTCTATTAATTAGCCCTATAAAACTTGGAAGACACAAAGAGCATAAAGAAGAAAGCAAGGGATAAGCGAGATGTGAAGCTTCGATCTGAGGTGCCTGTCTTTAGAAGAGAGGTGCTCACTAAATTTGAAGCAATGCTTTCAAACACCAGCTGTACAATTTAGGTACTCTGATGGACTGATACATCTTGAGTGGCTGTTGATCTGAACCTGAGGTCTCCCTCACACCAGAAGAAGTTTAGGACACTGCTGTTGATTCATGAAAGCCATATATGATAGCTTTATGATATGTCAATTTGATTGAGCTGAAATATATTCCCCAGAATTCCCTTTCTAGTCATTTTTAGTTAGAGTAGACTACAAGGGAGATTGTCTCACAGGAGTTGGCAGACAGAGGAAGGCAGCAGCCACTATGTACCGTACACACACTGTCTCCTAGTTATTCAATCAAACACTAGTGTAAGTGCTGTTTTGGGATTTTGCACATGTAATTAAACTCCATTATCAGTTGGTTTTGAGGTAATCAAAAGGTAGGATATTCTGTTGCCCCAGACTTAATTATGTTGAATCTCTTTTAAAAGGGACTAAGACCCTCTATCCGAGATACAGAGAGGAGAGAATGCAAAAAGGAGAGAAAACAGTGGAATATTTTACGTTCTAAAACCCCCATACCTACCTTGCTGCTGTTGATCTACTGATTCACCTTGTCGGTATGAAGTGGCAGCTGGACCTGCAATTGCTCTACTTTCTGTCTCTGGATCTTTCTTCAGTTTCTATGATTCCTGATGATTCCTCAGTTAGGGGTGTGTGTGTGTGTGTGTGTGTGTGTGTGTGTGTGTGTGTGTGTGTGTGTCTATGTGTATGTGTGGGTTCAGCACCATGGAAAAGGTACCCAGTTTCTACAGGATACTTCACTAGGTGAGAAGCAAACAAGAACTGACAAAGGCTTCAGACCAACCTTGTTAGGTGTCTTCTCATACTTATGTAATCAGGCTGCACATGTTCTTTTCTGCATGCCTGTGGACTCGAAGCTGTAGCAATAGATGCAGGGACAGCCGTGCAACTACTCGGTGAGCCCCCACAATTTCCTATCAATAAATATATAATGTATATTTTTATATATGATTTTATACATTATAAATGTATACATAAGTAAACATTTATACATTATGTATTCATATTTATATATTAAACTATGTAAATGACTTATGTATTTAGTATATAGACCTACTGATAGATGAACCATGTGAGATATAAAGAGAAATTGTAAAAATTCAGGAATGTGAACACTCAAATCCTATCTACAAGTCACTGTCTTTTACTCTTCTGAAAGTACCACAAATAAATATGCACAGAGGCTTAAAGTAAGCATTATATGAGCCCTAAATCACATTAAGCTCCAAATCTAAGTGTGCACCATAAGTGAATTAAGATTCAATGCAAGGATTCTCTAGCTTGGTTACATATTAAAATAACTTAAAGATCATTTTATAAAAGTAAACTTATGCTTGAGTTCCATCCATGTAACTTTTGATTTGATTGACTTGTGTAGAATAGAAACAACAAACAGGTGTTTTTTTGTAAAGCTCCTGTGGGGTTGTCATATGCTGGCCAAGTTGAAATCTGTGCAGGTCATGGGAGGACCAATTCTACCCAGTTTAGAGGCAGGACAAGGTGCTAATTTTGACTTCTTAATTAGCCCAAGGCCTAATCTTAATCTTCTGCACTTGCCAACATACAGTAAGAACAGACTAAGTGAAGGAAGTGAGAGTAAATGATTCAGTAGGAGGACTCATAATTTTATAAAGGCATCAAAGCCAATCTGCTCACCTTGGACATTTTCAGGTTGGTATGTTTTCCAAACAGGAATAGCTAGCTCTCCCAGCCCACACTTCGCAAGTTACACAAGAGAAAAACTCACCAAGAGGGAGGCAAGACCTCATTTAGGCTGACATATGAATCAATTTAATTCTTATATTGAAATGTATAACATACACTATGTCTTCACAGAATGTCCTTTCCTTGACAACCCCCAAATCTTGGTGGAGGAATTAGGATGGAGGTGGAGATTGTCAGAGACAACCACACTAGACACAGAGATCGTACATCTAAATTCATAATAATGTAACATTCAGGGATGTGGCCATAGAATTGTCTCCAGAAGAGTGGAAATGCCTGCACCCTGCCCAGCAGAATTTGTATAGAGATGTGATGTTGGAGAACTACAGAAACCTGGTCTCCCTGGGTGTTGCTATCTCTAACCCAGACCTGGTCACCTGTCTGGAGCAAATAAAAGAGCCCTACAATGTGAAGATACATAAGATCGTAGCCAGACTCCCAGGCAGGTGAGAGTGAATGAAGCAGAGGACACAGGCAAGGGGACCAAAGGTGAAGAAGGAAGCCAGGCCTTAAAATGTGGTTTGGGGCTGGGTGCAATGGCTCACGCCTGTAATCCAAGCACTTTGGGAGGCTGAGGCGGGTGGATCACGAGGTCAAGAGATAGAGACCATCCTGGCCAACATGGTGAAACCCCATCTCTACTAAAAATGCGAAAATTAGCTGGGCATGGTGGTGCTCACCTGTAGTCCCAGCTACTTGGGAGGCTGAAGCAGGATAATCGCTTGAACTCAGGAGGCGGAGGTTGCAGTGAGCCGAGATCACGCCACTGCACTTCAGCCTGGTGACAGAGCTAGACTCCGTCTCAAAATAAATAAATAAATTAATAAAAACAGGTAGTTTGGGAAATTCTGCTCCAATGAAAATAATTTCTGAAAAAGCTGCATTTTTTCTCATGTTCACAAATAGGGGCATCTTCTGTCCCATGCTGTTAAATCTTCTAAGAATTCTCTTTTTGCTTTAGTGATCTCCCTTTAAGTTTACAGAGAGAGCTAATATCCACTTTATCACTTATAAGGTGCTGCATGATCTGACTACTGTTCCATTGCTTGTGGAGACATTGGAATATTTGTGTTATTGAGGAGCTCTATGTCAAAGATTTTTTTTCAAATATTCTTTTTGTATCATGTCCAAAATGTGTAACATGAGTAGTGGACATACTGGGATTTGGTTCAGCAATGCCAGGAACACCAGGGACAGACGTTGCGTCTTTTCTGCTTAGTGTTTTTTAATCCTATAGAGGTTGCAAATGTAATTCTGCAAAATTCTTACTCAGCAATTTTATCAGAACAATAAGCATTTCCTAAATATGAAAAAATGTAATGTTATTTTACTTCAAAATGTTACTGTTTTAGTATAAACTCGTTTGTAATTTAAACTCTATATGTGCAAATGTTGAAATTATAATAAGTTTTAAGCATGAGTTTCCAACATTTTGGCTTCCCTGGGCCACACTGGAAGAATTGTCTTCGGCCACATATAAAATACACTAACACTAATGATAGCTGATGAGCTTGGATCACCTGAGATCGGGAGTAGGATACCAGCCTGACCAACATGGAGAAACCCCGTCTCTACTAAAAATACAAAATTAGCTGGGCGTGGTGGCGCATTCCTGTAATTCCAGCTACTTGGGAGGCTGAGGCAGGAGAATTGCTTGAACCCAGGAGGCAGAGGCTGCGGTTTGCCGAGATTTCGCCGTTGCACTCCAGCCTGGGCAACAAGAGTGAAACTCTGTCTCCAAAAAAAAAAAAAAAAAAAGGTTTTGAAAAATTTTTGTGATATCTTCCACCACAGAAGATAAGCAAAAAAGTCCTTGCATTCCAAGGGTTGGACACCACTGGATTAAAGTATCTACTCACCTTGTATATTCCTTAAATGCATTGTATCATTAACCAGCATTAATGTGCTATGTCATTAACCAGCATAGAACATTGCTAAGTGTATATTAAGCTCTCAATTGTTCTCTTATTTGTTAATAGCTATTATAATTTTGTCTCAGTAGGAAGTCTGTTGAGATCCTGTCATTGAGATATATCTCTCTGTAGCTATTTAAAAATGTGTGTCTCACACACACATCTATATAAGTTATATAAATGAGTAGTAAGTTCTCACTTAACATTGTTGATAGGTTCTTGGAAACTGAGGGAAGCAACATATTGTTTAGGAAAACTAATTTTACGAAAGTTTAATTGATATAAACAAGAGTTATGTTTGAATGGCATATAGCAACATTGTTTCATTTAACAATGCAGTTTTTAAGAACCTAATTTGAACGTTAAGTCAGGACTTACTGTACATCTGTGTTTGTGTGACATAGATTTTTCTGATAAATAAAAATTACGTAACTTAAAAAAAAAAAGAAAATAAGCAATGATTCTAATTATGGTGATACAAAGGCCAGGTTAGAGTAGAATTAAGCCAGAGTAGGAAACAGCACGTTATTTTGTCCTTCCTTCCTTTGCCTTCATCTATCTTTATGTGCATTTATCATGGTTAGGACAGAAGAATGCAGAAGTCAGCTGATCTCATTTCTAATTATCTGTATATTAAAAGTCTGAAGAAAGATATTTCTGGTAAATGACCGGAACTGAATCAGGACATCAGGAAATTTCTTTGAAAAGATACAATTAGGGTTCCTACAGGTAAAGGCAGACCCAGGCAGCACTGTGAAGCTTGTTCTAAGTGTGTCTAATAGTCTTCTCTCCTACCACCCTCAGAATTTCCCTTTTTCCATTCAGCGGCTATCTACCTAGTTTTCCAGATCTATATATTAAAACATCATCCCTGGAAAAAATAAGGAAAATAATGTTACCTAGCTATTTATAAAGCACTTAGCTATAAGTCAGGGACTGAGTTAAGCACATGACATACATTATTCTACAAAACTTCATACCGACAAGTGAATAGATATTATTACCCCAGTTTTTCAGATAGTAAAATTGGGATTCAAGGAGATTAAGTTGGTTGTGAAAAGTCATGCAACTAGAATATAGCAGAGCCAGAATTAGAACTCAGGCTTACTGAATTCCAAAGCACACATTCTCATTCCTCAGGAGACAATGCTTTTCTTTATACCATAACATCTGAAATCCCCTGGCCCTCACCTCAATTTGCATAATGTCAGTAAAGGACTATCTATGTATATTCCACTCTCTTGGGAATACTTTTCTCATTTGATAAATTTTCTACACCATCTGTATTATTTTACAACATTGGCAGGTGAATATGATAACCTATCCAAACTTTTTAGCGTGACAATTCGTTGATCTAATCCACAGAAAGCATTGATAATAACATATATTTGTTCCTATATGGAACCAATAGAATAAACATTCAGGACCATCAGCTATGCCACAGTGTAAAATGAGATAATATAATTGAAAATGTTCAAAAATATTACTATAAAACTTATTAGGTAATGCTAATAAAATCAAAATTGTTTCCTACTTATTTGATAAGTATTCTGTGCAAACAAATGGATATTTTCATGAAACTTTTTAAAAATTATCTTACGTGAACTAGATTAAAATACAGAAACATAATTGCCAAACAGTAGTGAAGTAATCTCTTTTTTTCTTTCTCTTTGTTTCTTTTTCTTTTCTATCTCTCCTTCGCATGAAGGTATATGCTTTATGAGTGATCTAATTATGAATAAAGGGAAGCATTGCTAAGCAATTAGATTTTTTAGGTAAGTAGGAACATCATAATTATAATATTCCAGATACTTTTCTGAGGATAGAATAGAAAAATGATTCTGTACAACTATTTCTTGAATAGAAAACTGACCTCTAGATTTTTCTGTTTGTGTCCTACTCTTGTACAGAGTAGTTTCTGACTTTGTAGATTTTGGGTTGGCTTCTGTAAGGCTGGGTTTCTATGTTTTGAAAGTCCCCTCAACTTGTGCCACCTCTTGTTCAGCCAAATCTAAATCATGCTACCTCTCTTCTGAGAGACAAAATCCATACTGATCACTGACGCCTGGAACTTTTCCCCATAAATATACAGATTTTCTGAGCAATACCATATCTCAGAAATAAGTGGGCACTTGTCAAACAGAGGGCTCTGAGTAAGTATGGATAAAATATTGGCTGGGGAAATGGGCCAACTTTAGATAGTGTCTGATAGGCTGTTCTTTTCATAAGAAATTTTTTTTAATTGAAACTTGGATATGCTAATATTTTGTTACAGTTAGCCTATATACGACTGCAATTGAGAACAGAATTCAAATCACTTACCATAAAGCTCCTGGTGACCATTACCATGTGTGTAAAGGCATTTGACCAATGAACTTGCCATAAAAGCCCCATGACCTTTGGGTTGGTTTTCCTGCCTGGAACATAAGATGATATCCCCTGGGTGCTCTGCCCTAACTCCACACCAATCTATTGACAACTTAGCTACAGCCTGGCCATGACACTTGGTTAATGAGTCCCAAATGTATTTGCCACAACGTAAAAAAATGGTAAATTTGTTGACTTCATGTGACCTGCTCATCCAAGCTTCCGCTCTGCTTGAAAATGTTGGGGGTCGGGGGAGAGGGGGCGCAGGGTGCAGTGGCTCATGCCTGTAATCCCAGCACTTTGGGAGGCCGAGGCGGGTGGATCATGAGGTCAGGAGATCAAGACCATCCTGGCTAATATGCTGAAACCCAGTCTCTACTAAAAATACAAAAAAATTAGCCCAGCTTGGTGGCAGGTGCCTGTAATCCCAGCTACTTGCGGGGCTGAGGCGGGGAATTGCTTGAACCTGGGGGGCAGAGGTTGCAGGGAGCCGAGATTGCACCACAGCACTCCAACCTGGGCGACAGAGTGAGACTCCGTCTGAAAAAAAAAAAAGAAGAAAACTTGTGGGGAAAAATAGTCCACTGTCATTCTGTTCCAATTGTTTGAGATACTTCACGTTTTTGATAAATTTCTATTCCTTCATACCTTTTCTCTTATCCACTACTACTCTCCCAGATCGTGTCTAAGTATGTGCAGAAAAAATGCTTTCAGGACCTCAAATCAAAGAGGAGGGAATTTTTTGCTTTCTGATGTAAGTATTGTCCTATCCTATATTTGTCTTGATATCATTGTCAACCCCTTTTCTTCTGGATGCCAGTCATCCTGATGGCCTTTCTGGCCACAGATTAAGCACAATGATCTTAAGAAGATAATCTCTTCTCACTAATGGAACCCTGGTATTTTGTGCCAAGACAGTCTCACAATAATACCTAGGGGCATCAGGTACTCATTCAGGCCTAAATTCACTCTCTTTCGATCTACTGTCCAAGCTCTGTCCTGCCACTCATGGACACAGGCTCAATTCTCACCCACCATAAACTCCCTTGAGTGGCTCACCAGCCACTCATCTTGCCTTCTTTCTGCATTTATCTCCCAGCTATAGGACACCTGGACATTCCTTGATATATTTCACAATCATAGGAGCCAATGTGGCTTAAACATTCAAATATGAGTTTTTTCTCAGCCTAATCCCATGATCTACAGGGACTTGCCATGTGGTTCAGACCAAAGCACATCAAAAAATACTCTGCTCATGGCTTTATTCTAATCCTACTGAAGATAACTTACGTGCTGAAGGGATCATCAGGACTCATTTCATCACATTCATCACATTCAGTTGTCTTTTTCATTGTTTGTTTTGTTTTTGTTTGTTTGTTTGAGACAGGGTCTCTCTCTGTTGCTCAGGTTGAACTGCAGTGGTGCCATCTCAGCTCACTGCAACCTCTGCCTCCCAGATTCAAGTGATTCTCATACCTCAGCCTCCTGCATAGCTGGAATTACAGGTGTGTCACCACAATGGGTTAATGTTTGTATTTTTAGTGGATATGGGGTTTCACCATATTGGGCAGGCTGGTCTTGAACTCCTGGCCTCAGGCAATCTGCCGACCTTGGCCTCCCAAAGCGCTGGTGTTACAGGGGTGAGGCACGGCACTTGCCCCCTTTCAGTTGTCTTTTGATACTTTGGGAATGGAAGATCCAATTTTCTGTTAGTTCTAGTTTATAACCTGGGTATGTAGAATTAACACTCATCATGAGCGGATTTTGATATGTAAAATGGAAGTTTAATACATTGAGGAAATGTACTTTCTCTTCTCAGAATTTCAAGGATTTCAGGTCTGTTTCATTGCTTTGGAAACTCAGAGACATTCAATGGCCTCTTTATTCCAAGTCAGACCCTGTTTCTCCTTTACTGACCAACAAGCTCCAGTAAGCCCTAGGATAGAAATCTTTCAATTCAGTGTAATTTAAGTGGGAAATGAGAAAAAAAAAGTAACAGTTACAACACATGTCCTCATCATATCTGTCCTTCAACTTTGTAGTAAATTTCTCTTCTCAAATGAAAATCTGATATTAAAGTACAGAATTCTTCTTTGGATAATTCTTCCAAAATATTTTACACATTTGGGTCTATAAGGACAAACTGTAGAGATCAAGTCCACCATTTGGCCTGAAACCTGGCCATCTTTCATGGTGGGATCTTTCCACCAAACAGAGACTGAAAGTCTCACCACGACTGTGGGAGTTAATACACCTGGCTGCACTTGTGAAGCCCAGAGAGGACTTCCCTTCTCTAACTTCTGACACTTCTTCTGTCCTTGCTCCAAGCACAGATTAAATAATATATGATAAATAAAACTTCTACTGAATGCTATCAGATTGCATTTAACTGTGAAAGTAACTTTAATAATTTAATTCAGGAACCAAAATGAGCACAAGTTTCATTTATTGCAAAGACCACAGATGCCTCTTATGTCAGTGTCAGTCATTGCATACTTATTCAAAACATTTTTCAAATTCTCATATAGTATTCTAATGATTTATTTTATTATAATGCCACTTATTTTATTATCTCAATACCTACTTCTCTTTCTCTCTCTTGCACCAAACTTTCTGGAGGAGAAAGCCAATATTTCAAAAGAAAAAGGAGATAGGTCTGTGTTTATTTGGAGTTTCCAAAATTGTTGCTCTTACAATAAATACATTCATTTATTAAAAACCCTGTCTATTTGTTTAACAATGTGAACAATAAAAATTGATATTTCTTATGAAATTATAACATTGCCTAATTACTTCTGGAAATGTGACTGGAAGGATATATAATCCTCAGGATACAAGGAAGCTTAAGAAATTATCATTACCCATTAATAATTCAGATAATTGTGGAAAAAAAATTCCATACAAATTCAAAAAGTTTATGCTAATTACCAAAATTATAGGCACTGTCATTAAGACAAATTAGGTAGGCAGGAAGGTACTTAGTGGGAATTATTGAAGAAGAAGATGAGGAAAATAAATCTATCTGTCTAGGTATCTATCTATTTTCTATTTATCACCTATCTATATCTTGAGGGTTAAGAAATATCCACATTTGCTCTAAACAAAAACATTGTGGAGTGTTTCAAAATTTTGACAGGCTTAGTAATTTGTATAACATAATCATTAGATGGGTAAACAAGTATTAGATGTAGGATTCCCTTATTCTTTTGTTATTTCCTGGCTGTTTCTAAAAGGGAATAGGCATAAGTTAATGAAACTATCTTTTCCTAGTAGGTAGAAAATGGCAATTCGTTTTATATTATGTGGGGTTGTGCTTTGTCTTACTACAATATTCACTATCAATCACAATTTATTTGACGTTTTCCACTTAATTTTGTTTTCTTTTAACCTATGTTGTGTTAGAATCCAAAATATCTCTTAAATTAAATTGTTAAGCAACTTATTAATCTATAACAGGTAAAGGCAAAGATCATCACTGTGGAAATGCAAATGAAACTTCAGCAAAGTTTGCTCCATTTTAATGTGCATTCAGAAATCACTTCCACTTATTTGCATATTTGCATATTAATTTACTTTGTCTCGGCTTTTCCAGCAGAGCACAGCATATTTTCATCATCTCTTTTCTATTATCCTAATGTTTGTGCTAAGCTCGCTTGGTTACTATCCAACCATTTTAGGAGAATTCATTATTTTCCAGAATTACAATACCCTCATTGTTGGCTAGAGGTGATTAATTACTGATTGCGTACTTACTTTATCAGGGAATACATGAAGAAGATAAAATAAAATGCTTGAGTTTGTTTTCTTGTTCATTATTAAGAAAATTACTACTAAATTTTTATTAACTATCATTTAAATTAATTCAATGTTAACCCCAAATTATAGATTTAAAATATCAACATAGTTTAATACAAAGCAACTATGTACATATCTAACTTAAGAATTTTTAAGTGGCATTACAAAATGGAGTGCTTAATAAGTAGTGCTTGGGACTATAAAATAAAATATGTAATAAACCTGCCACACTTATGAATTGATTATTTTAAATTATAATTGAACAAATAAAATTAATCTTAGAGTTTTAAGAGGACATTTTCTTTTATAGGATCATGGCTCCTATCAGCCTGAAGTAGTCTACTTTGTTATAATAAAACAGTGTAGTGTTTTCTGAGCAGGTTACTCCCAAACAACATTGTATTCTAATTCTTTTTACATCTTCAAATAGAACGAAGGACAATGCAACCAAATAAGTTGTACTGCGCTTTGTTCAAGTACAAATGTACAGATCAAATAAATATCTATTATATGCTTTGCAGAAGGCTAAGGAATGAGAAAATATCAGGGCCTTCACATTGTGAAAGTAACTCAGGTCTGCTCACTTTGTTTCAACAAAGTTCTGCAGAGAATAATATATGCATAAATGTCTCACCATGAACTAAATAATTAATAATCTTTAGTTTCCTTGGAAAATGGGATAGGAGCTACTAGAATTATTGTTCTAGGTTTTGCCATAAATTTGCTAATATGTGGTGTTACTCATTTACTACATCTCAAATTTAGTGTTTAAATTTATATAGAAATGATTTAATCGATATAATTCCAGTTATTTATCTTGTTAAGCTCTGAAGCCTCCTCAATTGAAGGATAAACATTTGGACAAGAAATAGTTGGTAAATAGGACCTGTGTTGGCATTGTAAATTGCTGAGATGAAAGTTATGCTAATATTCAACCTCTGGAATTTTATGTTTCTTAGCAACTCTGAAATTCATTTGACATTCACTAGATTAAACGTGATTTCATGTTCTATCAGAAGAAATTCTCTTAAATAGTCCTGTACCTGAAGCACATTAACGATTGAAAGTTCAACTAAACAAACATCTACATACCAGGGGTTGCCTTAAGGAATATATCAACTGAAGGTGTGATAAGGGCTGAAATTATTTTTAAAAGTCTTAAATAAGAAATCATTGAAACATTTAAAAATACTTTTATTATTTTGGAGATACTGATAAAATGTATTTTCTTAACGGCTTCTTCTCCTTACCAAATTTCGTTTTTTAAATACCATAAATTAGAGAGATTATTCCTTAATTTTGAGACTGAGATTAATAAATGCAAGTACAACATCACAACATATTCCCTGGTACCCTTAGAAAGCAATTCCCAAACTGAGATTCTTCTAACTGGTCCTTTGTCATAATTCATTTTTTATAATGAATTTCTTCTCCTTTGGGCATAAACTAAATCAGCACAGTCTTACAGTAAAATCTTTAGAAATATAACTTTTCATAATAGGTTAATAATAAGGAAAGAGATTTCACACTGATTTTCCCTAGAGTATTTCTATTAAAGCTAATGGCTTTTAAAGTTTGCTTGAAAGTTTTAGCTTTTTAATAACTTTTAATGTGCTTGGAGCATGGCACAATAGCCAAAGACTCAGGATCTCCTTTGTAAAAGAAGAATAACTCAAACAGCCCTATAGTTCCTAGGTCCATTCTAGTAAAATGAAGTGCCTTCTTTATTTCCTCACTTGTGATAATTCCCATGGATGTTACGTGGTGATAATAGTTAGCTATAATAAAGATTACATGGTGATAATAGTTAGCTATAATAAAGATTATGTTTCCAGATCATTTTCATGGAGGGAATTATGAATTGGGAATTGAATTTAAAAACGTGGCACTTCGCAGGACTGGTGATAATCAAAGATGATGTTCATTTGAGATCATCATCCAAAGAAGAAGTCAAAGGTGGACAACAATAACAAAAGAAGACCTCCTTAGTTCAATATGTCATTCTCATATAATTACTAAAACATGAGTTCCAGCCTAAGATTTAACAATTAGTAGGTATGTGATAACAATCATGTCCTTTAATCTTTAATCTTCAAATTTTTCATCTACTGTGATGACAAAGATAATGCATGAAATTACTTAACAGTATATCGCCAAGAGTCATCATCTAAAATGCTTAATTTTCATTATTCAAGGCTAAAATTCATATTAAACTAGTTTTTCATAACCCACATTTTCAAGGTGCACATAGATTATGCAGAAGTGAATAGCACAGGAGTGAATTGCTTTATGCTCAAGAAAGCACTTATGTTTTACTTCTTGTAAAACTTTTATAAATGAAGTAAACCCTACCTACCAAATTATAATAGTGATCCCCAATGGACTATGAAATAAATGTCTTCTTTTATTCACTGTTGTTTTTACAAGAATTAAGTTGCTATATATATATATGCTTCATCACCTACTACAACGTAGATTTATATTGGTACTTTTTTTTTCAGTCATAAACCCTTTGCTATCTGCTTTGTAGAAAATATAAAATTTGGGCTAGGTACGATGGCTTACACCTGTAGTCCCAGCACTTTGGGAGGCCAAGGTGGGAGCATCACTTGAAGCCAGGAGTTGGAAACCAGCCTGAGCAACATAGTGAAACTCCACCTCTACAAAATAAAAAGTAATAATGAAAAATTAGGACTGGCTTGGCTCACGCCTGTAATCCCAACACTTTGGGAGGCTGAGACATGCAGATCGCTTGAGCCCAGGAGTTCGAGACTGGCCTGGGCAACATGGTGGAACCCCATATCTACAAAAAAATACAAAAATTAGCTAAGTGTGGTAGTGTACACTTGTAGATCCAGCTGAAGGCTATTTTGGAAGGCTGAGGCAGGAGGATTGCTTGGGCCCAGGAGGTTGAGGCTGCAGTGAGCCGTGATCATGTCACTGTACTCCACCGTGGGTAACGAAGCAAGACCCTGTCTCAAAACAATAAAATAGAATAAAATATAAAAATACATTAACTGGGCATGGTGGCATGTGTCTGTAGTCTCAGCTACTTGGGATGCTGAGGTGGGAGGATTGCTTGAGCCCAAGGAGGTCAAAGCTGCAGTGAGCCGTGATCGCACCACTGCATTCCAGCCTAGGTGACAGAACAAGACCCTGTCAAAAAGAAAAACAAAACAAAAAACAAAAAACTAACCCTCTCAAGTCTTACTCAAATGCCACAATTTCTATTAAGTCCTTTGCAATTACTAGACTCAAAGTATTTTTGCTGCCTTTGAACTCTTACTAAATGTACACACCCTAACATTCATTTTGGCATTTTAATTACATAATCATATATTCTCCTCAAATCTAATCTCTGATCTTAAGACAAGGACGCAATATTTGAAATATACTACACGCACAACAAAAAACTTGTTAACTATATTTTATATCAATATAGGTAGTCAACTGCTGCATTGTATTGCATGACAGTGGCTACAATAATGGCACATGATTTACTATTAAATCATAACTTAAATGCTAGCTTCTGAAAAATTAAATAGAAAGAAAAGTGATTTAATGTGAAGATTATAATTTATCAAAAAAATTAAGTAGATTTTATTTTATTTGTCAAAATTGACCAGTTAGCAGTAGCTGCCAAGACAGAAGTCTTTGAGAAGGTCTTCTTGGGTTGACTCAACAGTGGAGAGAACAGTAATGAGTTGAGGTAGCTCTGACTTGGTTATTATTAGAGGGGAGTAGCAGTGTGTGTGCCTCTTATGAGACAGCATAAAAATCTCATAGTGATATCACAGCTGGCTCATGAAGGAGTTACCTTCTTTTAATAGTCTGACTCCATAGATGCCAGAAATTATATAATCTATTCTATGTTATGCTAGGAAAATATATTCACATAGAATGAAAGTTGGTTTCCTTTCACTTTGAGGAATATGCTGGTGTTCATTGCAAAACTCTATATTTAAATAATTCAGAAGAATTAAAACATGATTTTTAAATTTCTTATTGCTTGCAAACTTAAAATAAATACTTTTTAAAAAAATTAATATTTGTGTAATGCAAATCACTAAGAAGCCGTTGATGCTTCTTAGTGATTTGATAAGCTTCTCAAAATGGTACTTGAGGAGCACAAAATGGCAGGCATATTAACTGATACCTTGTGCCATTCGAATACTAAGCATGCAGTAAGTTTTCACATTCTATTGTAATGCATCATAGTGACCAGTTTTAGTAATAAATAATTGAGTTTGTCACATTTAATGATTAATTTTGCTTCTCTGGGCAAAGTTTATAGTAAAATTGGGATTTGCACTACTTGAACTCTGAGGACTCTTTCTGTGCTAATATTCTGTGACTCTATGTTATGACAAAAAGTACATCAAAATAGAAGAGTTGAGTTGATAATACTACATGAATTAATAGTTTGATCAAACAATATCTACCTCAATAGAAGTACCAACAACAACAACAATAAATAAGGCATACTATTGTTACATGGGAGAAGCTACATGTATACAATTTCTTTAAGTATACATAAAATTGGTACAAAAATAATAATTTGTAAGTTTATTCTTCCTCTCTAAATTTGTATGGTCACATTTTTGGATAAGTAGGATTGTATAGGGGAGAGTTGTTGAAAAATATACTCAAGTGGTAGGAAAGAAGTTTTAGTATGACTGTGACTATCTCACGTTCACTTTCCCTTGTATCACACATATATAGCATAGTGTCTTCTCCCTGGTAGGTATTCACTAAATATGTATTGGACAAATAATTCTAGAAGGGATAAATACATGCTTCTAACAACTTTGCCTAGTCATTATTCAGAAATGAACTTATCTAGCCATCAAAATAGGGAAAAGCTAAGCAACTAGGATTAATATCAAGGTAATATTGAATTCTGTCACACGAGGAAATAAATAAAACTCACACTGCTTGATCATGGTATCAATCAAAAAGGCAGACAGAATTATGATATACCTTCTGAAAGTTCTGTTTAGCATTTTTTAAATGCTCCTTTATTTAGAAAACAGAAAATGTAACAGGAAATTTGTGGAAGGGATATGGCGTAAAAGCTCAATGTTTACTATTTTTTTCTAAATAATAAAGTATCTTATAATTTTTACATAGGAACATTTTAATTAAAAGAACAGCTTAATAAGTGGAAAGTTGTAACTAATCAAGAGGCTGGGTTAACTGAGACTTTACTTCGAAATCATTTTTATTGTTTAGCAATCCATATATAATATTCAGTCTACTTTCTTGCTTTAGAAAGGTCATTATACAAGGTGCATAACACCAGGCTCTGTTTTAGAATGTGCCATTCTCTCTAGATATATGGGTTACTAAAATTGAGTACTAATTAAGGTTTCCTGCTGATTTGCATTTATTTGCTATATGTGTCATTGCATTTCGAAATTATCCACATTCAAAAGATTCAAGGGACTAAGAACGATAATATTACTTTCTAGATTCTCTGTAATGATTGTTACTAAACAAATATTTGATAAAGGCTTAATATGCTACAAGGTTGTATTTAAAGGAATCCTTGCCCATATCTTTTTAAGAGTCTGTAGTGTAGTCGTAAAAATACAGTGTTCTCTGAATTCTTAAGTGACAATGCATGTTATGTATAGAGGTGATACTTTAAATATTAGAAAAAGTAATGTGAAAGACAATGACAACAACATTAGAAAGGTCACTGGTATGATCTGGCTTTGTGTCCCCATCCAAATCTCATCTTGAACTATAATTCCATAATCCCCATGTGTCATGGGAGGGACCCAGTGGGAGGTAATTGAATCATGGGGGTGGTTTCCCCCATGCTGTTCTCATGATAGTGAGTGAGTTCTCACAAGACCTGATGGTTTTATAAGCATTTGGCATTTCTCTTGCTGGCACCCATTCTCTCTGCTGTCACCCTGTGAAGAGGTGCCTTCCACTATAATTGAAGATTCCTGAGACCTCCCCAGCCATGCTGAACTGTGAGTCAATTAAACCTTTTTTCTTTATAAATTACCCAGTCTCAGGTATTTCTTCACAGCAGTTTGAGAATGAACTACTATAGTAAATTGGGTCTGGGTAGTAGGGGCACTGCTGTGAAGATACCCAAAAATGTGGAAGCAACTTTGGAACTGGGTAATGGGCAGAGGCTGGAACAGTTTGGATGGCTCAGAAGAAGACAGGAAGAGTGTGGGAAAATTTAGAATTTCTTAGAGACTTGTTAAATGGTTTTGACCAAAATGCTGATAGTGATATGGACAATGAAGTCCAGGCTGAGGTAGTATCAGGTGGAGATGAGAAACTTGTTGGGAACTGGAATAAAGATGACTCTTGCTATGTTTTAGCAAAGAGACTAGTGGCATTTTGCCCCTGCCCTAGAGATCTGTGGAACTTTGAATTTGAGAGAGATGATTTAGGGTATCTAATGTGACTTGGGTGCTGTTAAAAGCATTCAGTTTTACGTATTCACAAATATATGGTTTGGAATTGGAACTTACGTTTACAAGGGAAGCAGAGCATAAAAGTTCAGAAAATTTGAAGCTTAACTATGTGATAGAAAAGAAATACCCACATTCTGAGGAGAAATTCAAGTCAGCTGCAGAAATTTGCATAAGTAACAAGGAGCCAAATGTTTATCACCAAGACAATGGGGAAAATGCCTCCAGGGGATGTTAGAGGTCTTCACAGCAGCCCCTCCTATTACAGGCCCAGAGGCCTAGGAGGAAAAACTGGTTTCGTGGGCTAGGCCCAGGGCCTTGCTGCTTTGTGCGGTCTCAGGACTTGGTGCACTGCATCCCAGCTGTGGCTAAAAGGAGCCAAGGTACAGCTCAAGCCGTAGCTTCAAAGGGTGCAAGCCCCAAGCCTTGGCCATTTCCGCATGGTATTGAGCCTGTGGGTGCACAGAATTCAAAAATAGAGGTTTTTAAACCTCTGCCTAGATGTTAGAAGATGTAGGGAAACGTGTCCACCTAGATTTTGGAGGATTCGTCGAAATGCCTGGATGTCCAGGCAGAAGTTTGCTGCAGGGACAGAGTCCTCATGGAGAACTTCTGCTAGGGCAGTGTGGAAGGGAAGTGTGGGGTTGGAGCCCCCACATAGAGTCTCCACTGATGTGCTGCCTGGAGGAGCTGTGAGAAGAGGGCCACTGTCCTCCAGACCCCAGAATGGTAGATCCAGTGACAGCTTGCACTGTGCACCTGGAAAAGCCTCAGACACTCAACACCAGCCTGTGAAAGCAGCTGGGAGTGGGACTGTACCCTGCAAATTCACAGGGGCAGAGCTCCCTAAGGCTGTGGGAGCCCACTCCTTGCGTTAGTGTGACCCAGATGTGAGACATGGGGTCAAAGGAGATCATTTTGGAGCTTTAAGATTTAAATGCCCAACTGGATTTTGGACTTGCATGAGGCCTTTAGTCCCTTCATTTTGGCCAATTTGGAATTAGTGTATTTACCCAGTGCCTGTACCCCCATTGTGTCTAGGAAGTAACTACCTTGCTTTGGATTTTTCAGGCTCACAGGTGGAAGGGACTTGCCTTGTCTCAGATGAGACTTTGGACTTGGACTTTTGGGTTAATGCTGGAATGAGTTAAGACTTGGGGGACTGTTGGAAGGGCATGATTTTGTTTTGAAATTTCAAGACATGATATTTGGGAGGGTCCAGGGGCAGAATGATATGGTTTAACTTTGTGTCAAACCAGATCTCATTTTGAATTGTAATCGCATAATCCCCACATGTCTTGGGAAAGACCCAGTGGGAGGTAATTGAATCATGGGGGCAATTTCCCCCATGCTGTTCTCATGATAGTGAGTGAGTTCTCACGAGATCTGATGGGTTTATAAGCATCTGTCATTTCCCCTCTTGGCACTCATTTTCTCTCCTGCTGTCCTGTGAAGATGTGCCTTCCACCATGATTCCAAGTTTCCTGAGACCTCCCCAGCCACACAGAATTTGAGTCAATTAAACTTCTTTTCTTTATAAATTACCCAGTGTAGGGTATTTCTTCATAGTAGCATGAAAACAAACTAATACAGACACAATGCTTAGAGCAGACGGGTATTAAATGGATCTTTGAGATATGGGTAGAGTTTTTTAATGGAAACAAGAGCGATTAAGGGACTTAGTAGTGCATAGAGCAGGATGAACACATCTGAGTTGGTTCCTTCATGTTATTCTTCATGGCTGAATGTGTAGTTTTCCTTCACGGTAATAGTTTATAGAGTTTCTGAAACTCGTCCTTTTTCTCTTACCATTAAACAATAAACAAATAAATAAACAAAGTACATTGATTCTCTCAACTTTGTGCAGTCCCTGTCAATCCTATATGCTGACTTTGTATCTGAGGAGAAACTTAAAAATTTATTCAATCAATTTTTATTTAATATAATGTTTTATAAATAAAAGGAAGTGTTGGCTTATTAGTATTCAAGCATTGCAACTGTCTACTTAATGTAACAAAATGCACACATATCTTCAAATGTATCTAAACCTGTCTCAATCACAACTTAGAAATAATCATGTACTTTCAGGCTTTCATGCCTTGCTTGCCTCTGGGTGTTCCCATTGCCTGAATGATCTTTCCTATCACTCTTATTGCAACTCTACTCATTCTTTAGGGCTCAGGTCCAGTAAACTTGTTTATGAAGAGGACTATGATTTCTCATTAACTTTTTTATATTGGCACTTCAAAAGTTTCTATACAGTACATTTCTATACAGTACTTATTCTACTTTTTCCCACAACCAAGCAAGGGATACTGATATAAGTTCAGACCAAGATAATGTGTCAGGACAGCCCTTCTGCTTCAGGGTAGAGAGATCACATCCAGGAAAATATCCTATCAAAAGTTAGGGTGTTAACTGTTGATAAGCTTCTCTGACCATTAAAAAATATAAAATCCCAGCACTTTGGTAGGCCGAGACAGGCGGATCACGAGGTCAAGAGATCAAGAGAATCCTGGCCAACATGGTGAAACCCTGTCTCTACTAAAAATACAAAAATTAGCTGGGCATGATGGCGGGCCCCTGTAGTCCTACCTACTCAATAGGCTGAGGCAGGAGAATTGCTTGAACCCGGGAGGCGGAGGTTGCAGTGAGCAGAGATCGCGACACCGCACTCCAGCAACAGAGTGAGACTCTGTCTCAAAAATAAATAAATACATAAATAAATAAAATAAGTATATAAATATTGGCAGCACAGCACATTTATAGGTAGCTGAACATTATAAATCTCCTTTTTCCCTATCTTATTAGCGAATAAGCAACAATGAAAACAATTCTTATTCCGAAATCCAGCAAATAGGCAAGTTAGTTCACTAAAAATTCTGCCACTTGTTATCATAGGGAATATGTAATTACCCATTCAAGATAATATACAGCTTAAAGTGCTTATTCCAAGAAAACCCAGCATTCTGATGGGAATAGCAAGTTTTGTTTGTGTGTGTCTTCCAGGACTGAAGAACTAATGTGACTGCCTAGTGGTCAAAAGCTATTGTGCCTGCAAAATTATTACACCTGTTAGGAAAAGTGGAGGGGTCCTTACTATGTTTCAAAGTGAACACACTAATTGGGCATTGTTTACTTCACACAAGAAATATCATTTTGAGGTTAATAATTAATTAACAAAACTTCTTAGATATTTAGATGAAGAAAGATGAATATGATTTCTGGAATGTTATTACCTGATCTTATCACTCTGAGTGCAAACCAATCATAAAGCTAAGTACTTCAAGACACATATTATGTTACACTACATATATAAAATATTTTTAATGTATGCATGTTATCACACATAAAATATAACACTATTCAAAATATGTCCTATCAGAGGGGCAGGTTAGTCCTGGTATGAAATATAAAGAAGTAAATCTGGACAATGCCAGGAAAGAAAGGGAAAGGATTCTCAGGTGAGGTGATGAAAAACAAATAAACAAACAAAAAAGAAAAGGAAAAGAAAGAACAGAATGAAAAGGAAAGAAGAAAGCAAGAGAAGAGTCCAAAACAGAAGAGAAGAGTGGAGTAATTTCTTGGTAAAAAGACAGTAGGTGAAGAAATATTTGCTGGCACACAACACCATTTGTATGAAGTCGACTAGTGAAAGGTGGCCTTCAGTCACCCCTACCTGAAACAGACAATTGTTCACAAATATATTTTTTCTCCAGATTTGATTTTAAATGTGTTGAAAGCCTGGGCTGCTTTGCTAACACTGCATTTTCCTTTCCCAGCACCCATTATAATGTCTTGCATATTTTAAGTATTTAGCAAATGATTGCTTATGCAAATAAAAATACATTATTTTTCTCAAACATACCATGAGAATAGTCACAGTTTGCCTATGGAGAATTCCTAGAGTTACATGTGGAACTCCCGCGGAAGCACCCAGAAAATTATTTATTGATATAACCATTTAATTCAACATTGCAGGAGGAAATAATAATATTGTTCCTAGAAATACACCCCTAAGATGCAAACATTTGAAATTCTACTTGAGCATTTAGCTAGGGTTTTTGAGAGAGTAAACAATAGCATAAATATACAGAGAGCTTATAACCAAGTTTTGGAAATATCAGTAACATGCAAAATAGTTACGTAAAGCTGCCCATTTGAATAAACCAACCACCAGGTACAAACTTTGAGTGCTAGCCAGGTTTGCTTCAATTAAAATTATGAAATCATTAAACTCAACCTGCCCCAACACACACATAATCATGGTAGTAGCAGAAGAAGATCTAGGAAGTATATGGTGTGAAATGGATCTATTCATTATAGGAACATATTAAGAAGAAAGGATAAGAAATAAAAAAAAAAGAATGCTGTATTTCAGGGAGTTGGAACTGACCTAAACCAGTTTGGCCATACAAAATTATAAGGGATTTTTTGGTAGACTTTTGGAGCCACTGAATACTTCAAGATAAATTGTAGTTAGTTAATCCACCACACTCTAATCCTTCTAAGGTAATAAAATCCAATATCAAACTACAATATATCCCTCACATTTATTAGAGAAATAATTACCTTGTAAAACTTCCCAGCACAATTATATAACATGCCCTCTAGATTAGATGACACACCAGCTTTCTGTCTTGTAAATATTCTGATGTGGCATTAAACATTTATTAAAATAAAACACAACACTATTATAGAGATAGGATTAAATATGCTAATACTATGGAAAAGGTAGGCAATCTAAAACTTCCAAATCTGACCAGACACAGGGCCATTTCACTACAGCACATCCAACTCAGTCTAGCAGAGTATCTCTAAACTATTCTTGCTCATCTACATGTCTTGAAAGACATTCATTTCACTAAAGAGGGATTATATACGTCACCCACAGTAGTTATAAACATGTGTCTACTTTCACCAATGAAAATCCATTTTTAATATTTATTATGACAATTAGCAAAGATCTGGTTTAGATAAGAATTAGGTCTATCTGAAGTTTGTGTATTCACCACCCCAGTAGTCACCATCCCAGCTGGCCACTGCTCACCACTTTCCATCTAATTCTATGCTTGGTAGATGGAACAATGAACAAAAGCCTTGAAATTTATTATGAAATGCAGAAGCATGCTGGGTATTTGCTTTTATTTTATGATAACCCTGGAGTGAAATAGTGAGTGTTGATTTTTAATCAGGTACAGTTAGGACAACAGATTGGGAGATGACTGCCTTTAAAAAGATAATTTGGTACTCACAGTTGACAAAAGGAAGGTGCATTCCAAGCCGTGCAGAGCCACATGCGGTGACCAAGGTGAGTCAAGAGACAAAAGTGCTGAGAAGAATGTATACTCTGTTGTTTTGGGGTGGAGAGTTCTGTAGATGTCTATTAGGTCCGCTTGGTGCAGAGCTGAGTTTAATTCCTGGACATCCTTGCTAACTTTCTGTCTCGTTGATCTGTCTAATGTTGACAGTGGGGTGTTAAAGTCTCCCATTATTATTGTGTAGGAGTCTAAGCTGGAAACCATCATTCTGAGCAAACTATCGCAAGGATAGAAAACCAAACACCGCATGTTCTCACTCATAGGTGGGAATTGAACAATGAGAACACTTGGACACAGGGTGGGGAACATCACACACCGGGCCCTGCCAGGGGGTGGGGGAACGGGGGAGGGATAGCATTAGGAGATGTACCTAATGTAAATGACGAGTTAATGGGTGCAGCACACCAACATGGCACATGTATACATAGGTAATAAACCTGCATGTTGTGCACATGTACCCTAGAACTTAAAGTAAAATAAAAAATAAAAATAAATAAATAAAAGAAAAAAGAGAGAGAAAAGAGAGAGAAAAGAGAGAGAAAAGTGAGAAAAAAATATGGAATGTGGGCAGGAGCCTTTATTGTGATTTCTGTCTCAGTAGGTTCAAGATCTGATAATTTTAATAATTTCAGTATGTTTTGGAGCACCAGGGTTGTCCCTAGTTGTCTGGTACTGGCCCTTGGGTGATTAGGGCAGGGGAATAGTGACCCTGAGGGTGTAAGCCTGATTAAAGGAAGTGGTGGGAATGTGGGCTAGTTGGTTAGTTTGTATATGAAAGTCACCCTTGCAGGCCAGTGAGTCCTTTACTGTCTCTAGGAATTGGCTAGGCCTTGTTGGACAGTGTCTCTAGGATCAGCAAGGCCTCAGATGTCAAAGCGTCAGAAATATAAAAAATAGGAAGTCATCATTTATGCGTTGTAATGTTGGATTAAATGCTTCTGAATTCTCTAACAAGAGAAACTGACCATACACTATTTAGCTTAAACTAACCAACCAATACATACTGTAACATTGACAAGGCTGAAGTGTTTTTGAAGTAAAAGACATGGTGTATAGTAGCAGCTTCATTAACTTCACATTTTAATCTGGGTCCTCTTCATCATTTTTTTACTTTACTCAAAATACACACACACACCAGTCCAAATATTTTAACATATATAATTTTATATGTGTGGGTGTACACATCCATAATGAAATGATGTACAATTAGCAGTCTTGTAATATTTACTTAAGGAATAAATGAACATTTCTTATTTTAAATGTCAGAAGAGAGACCAATAAACAATAATGTATCAAATAGTATCACAATTATCTGAATACTCTGCTTTGTTTCAGAATGGCATATTGGAAAAATACACATTATTGGCATTTAGTTTATTGGAATATCTAATCTTACATTTTAGCTCAGTTTTTTTTTTCTGAATAAACTTGTTCTCTAAAAGTCTCAACATTTTCCCATTAGCATTTAGAAAATTCTAGATTTGTAATCGTGTGTGCAGTAGATTCAGTGAAGCCTAGAATTGGTCTTATTTGAAAAGCACATTACACTGGGCTTTGAGTACTGTTAAAATGGAGGGGTAGAAGTATATCTGAAGCAATTACCAGAAATCTAAGGTAAAAGTTAGAACAAAGTCATCGAGAATTCCAGAGAATTATATGGAAAGTATTATGCAGAAATTAAATACCAAGAAAGAATAGTCAGTCTAATTCAGGTCAGTGCTCATGGTATTAAAAGAGAGATTGAGAAAGAGTCAAGAAGACTTTTTAGTGCATTGAGCTCTGTCTCAGTCAGTTTTTAAATGAGTTTTACTGAGGGTTTGGAACCTAAGACTAAGCAAACACTATCCCAAGTGACTGCTGCTCACCACAGTCCAACCAATTCTATGCCTGACAGATGGGGAGGGGGCACATGGAAAGCCTCATTCTCAAATTCAGAAAAAAATATTCATTACCAAATCCAGAAGCATGCTGAGTAATTGCTTTTATTTGATGCTCAATACAATAAAAATAAATTTGCTTGTTTAAATTAATGAAAATTGAAAAAGAAAACCCAGATAGAGTACTTTGTCCTAAGAAAAAGGTATTTGACATTTTGCTCAGCAACACAGGTTTAATTATGTTAGCTAACATAAGAGGTGAAATTGGGGACTAAGGTCTTATGTTGAATTAATATTGATTGACTCAAGAACATGTCCTTAAATTGAAGAAAAGAAATAACTTGACCTTTGAAGCCATTAAAGTTATAAAGCTTCCTTTAAAAATATAATTTTCTCTTGGAGAAGTTTGATTGATCACTTTAAAGGAGGCTGTCAGCAAATGTTATAATTTTCCAATAATTTGGACAGGGCTCATCTAAAAATGGAGATTGCTGTTCAGACAAAAGTGGAGGAAACATTATTTGCAACTGCAGGTAGGGGAAAGGAGTAATTTCCAATTTATATGCAAAACAACAAATATGTATAATCCATTCCTCTGGCTCAGTTAGTTAAAAAATAAGAGAGTGAGAGAAACTCACTTAGCAACACTATTTTCTAAGCATAATATTCATGTTTCCAAATGGAGCCAACTAATCGGCCACATCAGCAGTTTGCCAGCCTAGCAAGTCACACATGAGCTGTGCATGGCCCTGACTACAAAGCATACAAACCAAAGCTTATGGAAGACAATAAACATGGGATTTTGGAATATATTCCTGAATATCTCCTTGGAGACTTACTAGACCTAGGGCTAAACCTGTTAGTGGATTCACAATAAAGGAGAATGTCAATTTATAGTTGCACTTTCTCTTGTATTTCTAGAAGAATAATAAGTATTATTTTCTTAACTATTAATTCTCATTAAAGTTTTCTGTGTCTTAATTCTTGTTCAAGTTCATTTTCTGCCTCTCTCTCACACACACACACACACACTAAACATTAAGTTTATACTTAAACTTAATATATAAATTAAATAATTGGAGGAAATCTGGAGCTCTACTATGCATACAGTTGAAAAACGGTAGTACAATGTGTCAACATTTAATCACATGCAAACATCCTGCAGTTTGAATTATTGCAGAAAGAGGGCAGTCTTACATTTTAATGCAAAATCAAGATGTGCATTTAGCTATACTGTGGTCAACTGTAAAAAGAAAGGAAAACTGCAGTCAGAAAAATAAAAGTTCTGGCTAAATAGGATCCAGGACTAGCCCTATTGGTATAATAAATCTGAATTTTCTGTTTAAGTACAGGTGGCTTTTAGTCTTCAGAGCTAAAGCAAAATCAATATGTGTTTCATTCTGCCTACTCTCCTACCTCCACTATATGACCTTATTTTCTATTTCACAAAGAAATAGAAAACATCAAAGTTAGTTTTCCATTACCACACCTAAATCTGTGACTATATCCTTACACTGTCTTCAACGCTCAGAGCAGGTTTGTTACTGTTCTTCAAGGATTATCCCTCCCACTTTGTTCTTCATTTTATTCCCTACCCTCCTCTCCTTTCTCCACAATCCTCACACATCCTTTCAACCAAGACTGGTGTTATCTACCTATCATGCTTCTGTGTTTTCCATATTGTCATTTCTTTCTGTCTCTACTTGGTACTTATACACTTTAAATCCATTAACACTTAATACAAAAAAGAAAAAAGAATCCTTGCACCCCTAAAATAACATCTATTTTTCTCATTACCGATCCACTCAAACACATTATTTTTGGAGGAATACTCATGTGACAAAATTGTGTTATTTTGGTGGGCTCACTGAAGAATAATGCATCATGTCAAGCTCACACCCTGGCCACAGATATAGACATGAGACAAATAACTACAGTATGTAGAAGAGTCATAAAGGGAAAATTGCTGAGATGATGGAGGCACTTAACAGAAGACTTACTATATCTTTCAAAACCAAGCTCTACCTCCTCATCTCACAACCCATTTGCTTTCAAGCTACTAACTCCCGTCTACATACAGGACTCCACTAAATCTTCACTTGCCTCCAGTAAGCATGACCTTATAATTGATACATACAATGATCTTTTGACCTGCTCATAAAACTTCTTGAAATTCTCTCCTCTGCTAACTTGCATCACATCCCTTTAATCAGCCTTTCTGATGTGAGAGTGATGTGGCTATTACACATGATAGCCTAGGTAACAAGTTGCTTCGTGACGTTTATCTATATCTAATGTTCCCTAGATCTTTAAACCTCAGTATATTCTATGATATTTTATGTGAAACATGTTATCTTTCCATTCAAGCTTATTTTTCCTTCTACATTTTTATTTCTTGTGTGTCACTAACATTTATATTGTTGCCCAACCTAGAACCCATGAATTTTTCCAGACATCTTCCTTCACTGCAACCTGCAACTTTCGTCAGGTACTAAGTCTAGCAAGCTCTATCTCCATGAAATTTATCATGATGTCAGCTCGTCCATTTCTAATGGAGCATTCAATGATATTTGAAATATCTTTGAAGTTTATTATGCAACATAAGGATATGTAAATATGTATAAATATGTGGAAGTATGCATAAATTCATTAAAACTATAAATTATAAAATATATAAAAGTTTTTATATATTTTACATATATATGTGTGTTTCTGAGTGCAAGCGTGTGTCTCCATTAATACAGCCAATGTGGTACAGAAATACGTACACAAATAATTTCAATTGGACTTATTTTTTTATGCCAAAATGTAAACCAAAATGGAGTGGGGAATTCTGTATGTCAGGCGTTTTATGTGCTTTGACACACACCAAAATGTAGAAAGATACATATGTTTAAATATTCCTTCTCAGTGAAGGCTTGCCCATCCACTTCATTTATAACTTCAAAACATTCCATTTCTTAACTGAAGCCTGGTGGGTCTCTCCACTTTTATTTTCATCACAGTACTCATCAGTAACCAACACATTATAAATTGTTCTTATTACTTTTTATGTATGTCTATTCTATCATAGAAATATAATTTTCTATTATAGAAATTTTAAAAATATTTGTACATGCAACAACTAAAACAGTATATAGAAGGTATATAACAAATATAAGTTGAACATATCCTTTTACACTGATGGATGATAATGCCTTTAATAAAATACTATTTATGAAATGCTTAATATGTGCCAGGTATGCCATAACCTTATTCAATTTTTACAAAAATATTTAAAGTGATATTATCCACATTTTCAACATATGAGATATTGATATTTTGTAGGTTGTTTGTATTTCTTTCTTTTTTGAAGCTTATTTTTTAGAGATGAGTTCTTGCTATGTTACCCAAGTTTAACTCAAACTCCGGGGCTCAAGAGATCCTCCCACCTCAGCTTCTGAGGCACTGAGACTACAGGCATGAGCTACTGTGCCCCATTAAGATTTAGTGAGTTTGAATTATTTGCCTAAGATCCCATTATAGGGAAATATGGATTTATACTCATCTACGTAATGTGAAAATTCATGTTTTTAGCTACTAAATAATTTCAGCTTCAAGTAGTAAGGACCACATGAGTGTTTTCATCCTTGTTAGAGTTGCATATGCCACTAAACCTGCTGATATCTACATTAGAGGATTCCTGCTAGAAGTAAGTAGATTACTGAGCCATATAAGTGAAAAAAAATTAAATCTAAAAATGAATAAGACAATCCAGAACATATAAGTATAATTTTAACTAATTTATTTGTCATAATACATTAATCATGACAGTTGACACTTTAGGCTAATAAAAATTTTCATTCATATTTCTATAGTTTATAGCACCTGATTTAACAAAAGAAAAACAATTGTGAAATTCTCTTTTTCACTTACTTTATTTTGATTAGTCCAGGAACTGTCGTAGGATTATATTTCTTTTATTTCTGAGACAATTAGAGAATAATCATTTGTATTCTTTCCATTAAAGGCACTTATTTTATTTGACCCTTTTCTTACACTTTATAGTTTTGCTTTATATTTGGAAGAAGTCTGTTTAAATCACAGAACATAAAGATTTAAAACAAAACAAGAAAGGAAGAATGAGGAATCTCACTATTGCAAAGACATTGCAGGGCATATCTGTATAGCCATTATTCTTAATGTTTGGTACCAGTTCGGTATTTTTTTAGTTGAAATAGTTTTTTGAAATATTTTCTTTGTAACTAAACTAGATGTTCGAATCAATTAATTATGAAATGGTAATAAATTTCTAGTTATTTAGGATGAGGAGCTATGGACATTTCTAGACTAATATATCACTATTATTTCTAGCCATAGTATAGTGGAGCATTAAATACAATTGTAGGTCATTTTGGGCATATCACATCTTTAAATCAAATTGTGGAGTCATTATTGACTAGCTAAGTGATAATAATTAAATGAGTTAACTTGTATTAGTAATTTTTTCTTTTTGAAAATAAAATTGTTTAATGCATAATTATATTGGGATTTGAGTAGAAAGAACCCAGTACAACAGCCAAAAATTTTAGTGATTAATATTATCATCATCATCATCACTATAGCAATGTTTTATCCCACAAACTAATGTGTTTTGGAAATATGTCTGGACTTAGGCATTATACTAACTTAATTTAGCCCTGTACTTTGTCTCCAATGTGATGTGTATTCTGCTAATTGGTATAAAGAAAATTTCAGCTGGGTATGGTTGCTCAGGCCTGTAATCCCAGCACTTTGTGAGGCTGAGGTGGGAGGATCACTTGAGCCCAGGAGTTTGAGACCATCTTGAGCAACGTAGTGAGTCCCTATCTCCAGAAAAAATTTGAAAAATAGCCAGGCACAACAACACATGCCTGTAGTCCCAGCTACTTTGGAAGGCTGAGGCTAGGAGGTCAATGCTTTGGTGAGCCATTATTGTACCACTGCACTCCAGCCTGGGTGACAGAGTGAGACCCTCTCAAAAAAAAAAAAAAAAAAGAAAAGAAAAGAAAGTGCTAAATAAAATAAATAAAAGAAAATTTAAGCTGTACTGTTTTTATGCAAGTATAGAGCCTTTGCTATGTTTCTCAAAATCGATGATTAAAGAGGAAGAAACAATCTTGTGTCTCAAAGGTGTATACTGCTGGAGATGAGGCTTTAGAAACGTCTAATTTAAGTCACATTTCCCCCCTGCACAATAGATTCCTAAAATAGTATTACTTTACTAGAATAATAAGTAACCCAGGAAGAAGAACTAATAAATATCCCTTATGTACTGTTACTTTACTGGTGTGATTTGGAGAGCTCACCATGGTATGTGAGTGTTATCATCAGCAGACAGCATTTCATTAGTGTGTGGTCAATGGCGGTCTCAGAATGGCAGATGACTATGATAAAGACTGATAAGGGCAATGAGTCCAAATTTTTTTAGCTTTCATGTACTGGTCCCATAGTGATGGTTCCAGGGAGCCTCAGCTTGCAAGATAGCACCCAGAGGCCAACAGAAGAACCGACATGAGCCAAAGCTGTGGGTATGAACTGTGAAGTGTGCATCTGTGGGTGAATATTTTGGTATCAACAGACTATAGCTGTGTTGGTTATAAGTGGGAAACAAGACTGCAAAACATACTGTATTTGGTTTTTAAAATGGCTGAAATAATTGTGATTATCATTGAATGGCACCTTGTATTATTACTTGCCCATGGGATACTGACTAGAGAGAAGGAGTTAGGAGACTGAGCACCCAGGTGTGGAGTATGAGGCTGGGCCAGGTTAGAAAGAGATTAGAAAAACATTCAGAGCTATTATAGGAGATGGAAGTCACTGAGTACTTTTAAACTTAGTTATGAAACATGCAAATGTTAATTAGAAAGTCAAGTCTGTCAGCGATACTCAGTTAATTAGTTCACCTACATATTTATTTATTCAATGGATCCAGTAGAGTTCTGTTCTCAAGGCATGAGAGCAGATAGGATAAAATCTTTAACCTTCACTTTATCCTCCAGGCAGGGTAAGTATTGCAGCTATTTCTCAATTCTGGCTGATCAAGCATAGCTCAATCTCCTGAGATTCTGCTGTGGTGGTACTAGAGTAGAGCCAGGAATCATCAGTATGTCAAAAATGTTCCAAATGTGGGCCAGAGAAACACTAGTATCAAATTATCAGTCTCTAATCTCTGTGGAACTGAATGCACTTGGATGCAAAGACCTTAATGGCCCTTGTCTTTAAACCCATATCCTTCCCTTTCACTGTGCACATATAGGCGCAGGTACTGGGGTTGATTTAGGTTTAATTTGAGCAATGACACTGGCCAACAAAATTGAACCAGGTTAATATTAATGCTGTTTCTACTTCTACATAGAGCCCTAGTTTTAAGTACCTTCAAACTTCAGACTGTATAGCACTGGATTATGTTTCTGACAGGGAAAGTCATTCAATAAATTCATTTACCTAGTAATTTATTTATTTAACACATCCAGTGGATTTCTGTTCTGCACACTGTGCCTCAAAGGTCACATTTGTACAACAGAGATGATCCATCCAAAAGACCACCTCTCTATTTCTGTGATATCAAATATTAAAGATTTCTTTAACACAATGCCTAGGGTAGGGTATATTTTCTAAAGTATCAGCTAATAATAATAATAGTAGTAGTAGTAATAACAATAAAGATTTTATGTTTCTTGTGATTGAGTAAAAATATTTTATATCTGAATTTGAACAATTGAGTTATTGCCTTGATTCTCAAATGATTGAGTCTCTATTTTGTTACCTTGCATGGTTTCTCTGAACCTGTGAAATTATCTTGTTTTTACAAGAATTCTCCAGGTGTAGTATTTTTTTTTTTCTAATTGAAGCTGGAGAAAGAGGGAATTTCTAGTTCTTGTCTCCCAAGGGGCAATTCAGAAACTGCAGTTTTGCATTTAACATGCTAAATTGCAACAGTGTGTGGTCCTCTGCTTGTCTATCAGCAAATATTTGCTGAGCTTCCACACTACAATATTTCCAACAATAATTACCTTTCATTGAGCACCTGTCACATATTACAGAATGTGCAGAACTAATTATAGCAGGCTTATGGCTTATCTATCATTCCTTATATTTTATAATTGAAGAGAAGGTAATTCAGAGACGCGACGTGATTTGTTCAAGGTAAAAAGGTAGGTGTGAGAACTAAGATTCCAAGTCATATTTGGTCAAGTCAAATGGTTATATTCTTTCTATGTCTCTGAACATAAAATTACTTTAATATCTGATAGCACATTATTACCCATGGATTGATTTATCACTCGGAGGCTGAGGTTTAACATGCTAAATGGAAAGAATACCAGTTACCTTTGTATAATAATAGCTTGTTCTGAATATCTACTTTACAGTTTATATAGAAACTTCACATATAATATTCTTATGTGACTAACGTACAAGCAGTAATGGCCATTTCTTCCTTACTACCACAGTAAGTACAAAAAAAAAAAAACCTCTACCTTTCTATAAATATTGATGCCCATATCTTTCAAATACTATATGGTGTAAGCAACTGAGGACACTTAAATGGTCATATAATCCAGATGACTTTATTTTACTGGAAATTAAATCTTAAATTATAGGGAAAACACCTTATAATGGTGGACTCTTAGAGGAGAACAGAATTTCATAATACAGGAATAAGGTGTGATTCCAACAACCCAACAGCTTTAAGAACACCTAAAATCATACAATTTTATACAATTATAGATATATGACTGTTTTCTATAGTTATATTATGGAAGTAAAATATATTAATTCTACTCCAGAGCTAAACTAGGCAAACATCTATAAATACAATATAAAAGCTGAATAAAAGGAGAGGTTTTTCCTCCTCCACCAGAGAGACTCGAAGTGAAATTCGAGGTGGTCCTCTCTTACAGAGAGCCACAGGAACCACTAAAACAAATTGCCGAGTAGACCTACTTGAAAATAACTACGGTTGGGAGCATGATCTTTATTTCACCAACTGTTCTCATCAGTGGATACCCCAGAGCTAAGGGTTCAAAACTGCATGTTGCCTATTAAGAGAAGTTACTTCCAAATTTCCTGTGGAAAAACAAAATTGAGTGCCTTTATGTAATCATGATTTGCTAGGGGTATTTCATATTTTTATGCATTCATTTGTAACGAGTTGCAGTATGTACGAAGTAAGATGAAATTACTGAAAGTGTTATAACATGCTGACATATACCAGGTGATTGCACAGCAATCATCTTACTATAACACAAAACAATCCATTATAAAGAGGAAAAACTGTAAAATGAGGCTACATCTGGAATATTTCAGTAATCCTAAGCATAAAGTTTGGAAGAATAATGAGCAACAAGGATTTAAATTAGAAAGCTGTTTGATAATCACCTGTTGGGATACTGGTAGGCACATGTGGTGTAAAATAATGAATAGCTATGATTTATTTTAGTTATTAACTTGTGACACTAACAAAAATATGGTTAATAAATATATGCTAGGTAGAGACAATCTCCGTAGACATACTCCATTATTCCTCAACCCTAGATGAAGACACGGGCACCTACCATGATATGTACCTGTTTAACTCTTCTAGATTTAGTCATTTCTTTGTGGATTCATTCATTCTTTGGATTTCTCATATAAGCCCATTTCAGAATGTCTCAAGACTTCTCCAATCTCCACTTCTCTCTCTCTTCTTTTTTCTCTGTCTGTATATATAAAGATTATATAATTTATAATGATAAATTATAGACATATATTTGATATTGTAAATATATTTAATTATAAAATATGGATACATTTTTCTAAACATGACATGAAAAATGATGTGTGAAGTATCATGTCTTGATTTTCTCTGCTACATTCTTTTAGAGTAGGAAACATTCTGCCTTTTTTTAAAAGTGGTTTGGCTCGTGAAGTAGAAAGGTGTAGAAGCAGGTAACACTCAAGGCTCAACTAACAATTTCAGATCTTTAGGCCTCCTGGCTAACCACTGATTCATCCAGCTCTATCATGCTCACTTCTTGGTCTTTTCACTGCCCTTTACAATAATGACTTTGCATGTTCGGGACTGATTTATCAACTCTACTCTGTCTTCCTGAGCTCCTGATGTTACTTTCCATTTTCTGCTATGTTCCAAGTCAATTCAATCAGCTTCTCTTTGATGCTGACCTAACTGCTGAGAAGTAGGTTTTCCCTCACCTCTCGTATCATGGCCTGATAATTAATTCCTTCTTGATAACTTATTAGAACTGGAAAACTGTATACTAAAAATGAATACATATATTTATATGCTATGCTTTTATTACACACACAAATGCATGCACACACACATACTTTTTTAAGGGTGAAGAAGAAATTCATTACAATAAACTATATTAATTGTTTCTAAGTAACTGACTACTATTCAATATGGCAGAAAGTAAGTTGGGGCCCAGATAAAAGCAATAAATTCAGAATTTTCCAGTAATAAAGGAATATGCAGAAGCTAGAGGTTTTGCAGTTATGCAAGATCAATTCTATATTATATTAAGTCTCGGTCTTTTTATGTTTTCTCTTGCCTGCTATATCTGCCCCAAGTCCTTTAAATGTTTAAGAATGGTCCTAAAAGTTGATTGTCCTTCTGAGGTGACAGAAAGTGGGTTCAATCACTACATTTAATTGTTTACATAAGACTGTATTTGTGGGGCCACATCAGGTTCTTCACTGAGCATTATAGCTTCTCTTGGCAAGAGGCAGGATGAAGCTGCTAGATTTCAGTTATAGACTAAAAACACAAACATAATAACGCTATGGATGATGGGTAATGTTATGGGTAAAGAGGTTCACAAGTCATTCTGATATGCTCAAACAATTAGTTTCAGGAAAATTAATGCCCAGGTAAAGAAACATACATTATTGTTGTTATTTTGTTTTGCTATGTTTCTGACTGGCATTCTGTTTACTATTTGTCACCAGCAAGTACAGCAAGGTCCTATTCCAGGAGCACAAGAAGTTAGTTCTAGAGGTCAATGAAAAGAAATCAGGAGTTCCTGTGCATGATTTGAGAAACAGAGCCTTGCATATAAAGTGAAACGCCTTACGAAGGTGTTACTGGGAGTTTCAAAGGGCAAAACTGGGGGAATGCTGAAAACCAGGGCTAAAAGCTGTGGTTCTGAGAGAGCTCTGAAACTGAGCCATTTGAGAACCCAGGCACAGGATGTAAACCAAAAGCAGCATGAAAGACAGTAGTCAGAGCTGATGGGTGTGTTGGGCCAAACAGCATCTTTCATGCCTGGATGTGATGTGGCTTTAATACACAACACATACATTTTTACTGAATCCATAAGTGTCTTAAAAGTGTATCCCACATTTCGACTTGTCAAATTAACAGTTCATCCTTTAATGACCACCATGAATTGGACTTGCTTCCTGGAAACATTGACAATTATTGCATCCTGTAAGTGTATCTACTGCTAATGTATCCAGATATGCATCAAATAGTCTACTTCTTAATTGTGCACTTTTGCTGCATATGTATCATTTAATTTTATTTTCATACTCTTCTCAAGGTCAGAGACCGTGTTTCTAGCTTAAATATTCTCAGTAAATAGTACAAGGATTTAGTTGACTTAAACAATTTAACATTTGTAAATGAATAGGTGGCACAGATGACAAATTTTAGAAGAAAGCCAAGAATATATATTTTGCAATATTGAAATTTTTCGTTTAGCTGATAGTAACATACACCTGATTATCAACATAAACTGTGGAAAATATTTTTATATAAAACTTTGAATGAGTAGAATTTAGAAAGTTTTTTTTCATATATTTCAACACCCATTCTCAATTTAAGAAATTTATTGTCATTGCCCTATCTTCAGGGAAAATATTAGGGCAGCGAGTCAATGACTGCTTGCTTTCTGGGCCATCAGTAATTCCTGAGAAATTTTCTGAATGTTTGGAATAGCAGAGGATGGACAGCGGATTCATTGCTGGGAAATATAATCTCCGTAATGGCCTTTGTCACATTTTGCAGCATATAAAACATTCCTGGGAGACAAATGTGACTCACTTAGTTTGCAGCTAGCTCTTTAGGGTCCATCCGTCTTCCCAGATGTGTCAGTAAAGACACTAAAGGCATGGTGGAGTGTGTTCTTCGGGGAGGTTTCATTTACTCTTTAATGCAACAACCGTTTATAAAATACCGCTGGAGAAAACAGTCATTTAAAAGAAACTCATCAGTGGCAATATCATCTTATTCTGAAAGCTGGTACAAATGAAGTAAGGCAAAGCTGATTTTCACTTCCTCAGGATGTCCTCTACTGATTTTCCCCTTGCAGCACAGAACAATCACAAGGCTCAGGAAGGAAGCTGATGCTATATTTGCTGTTCATGATGTGATGATGGGCTCACACTAGAAGGCTTCCTCCACAGGTTACCAAACTTTGACCTTCAGCAAGCTAGGCAGAAAATGAAGCTCTTCGTACCCACATTTGTCTATGTTTTACACTATAATTATCTTGCTAGAAACACGAAATGATGAGACCGTATCTGGCTAGAGAGTCCTCTTTTGTGAGTGTGTTTGTATGTGTATGTTTAATGAAATCTCACTGGTCTAAGTCAGAAAAAAAACTCCTCCTTTATAAAAATCTTTTTAATGAAATAAAGAGAAGAACTCATCAGATAATAGGTGCCTATTTCCATTAAACAGAGCTAGTTTTTTAACATGAAACAGATAGAGAGATTATCTCTGTCCTCTCCAATTAAATTCCTTCTTTAAAAATGGCATATTTTGCTAACAGCTTTAAGATACTAATATATAAAATTATATATACATATAGATATGTGAGGTTTACAACTTGATGTTCTTATACAAGTATACATTGTGAAATGCTTACCACAATCAAGCTAACTAACATATCTATCTTCACATAGGTATCATTGTGTGTTTGCGTGCATGTGGTGAAAAGATTAAATGTAAGATCTATCCTCTTGGCAAATTCCAAGTATGTAATACAGTATTTTTAACTTTCGTCCCCATGCTGTATATTAGATCTCCAGAAGTTATTTGTCTTGCATAACTGAAACTTTGTACCCTTTGACCAATATCTTTCCATTTTCCCCACCTCCCACCCCTGGCTGCCAACATTCTGCTGCTGTACTGTGTTTGACTTTTATAGATTTCACATATAAGTGAGATCATGCCATATTTCTTTCTTTGCTTATTTCTTCCAGCTCCATCTTCCAGCTCCATCTATGTTGTCGCAAATGGAAAGATTTTCCTTTTTTTAAGCAGTATATCTATCTATATAAATATATAAATCTATATATATAGATACATGTATATACAAATATATAGATATAGCTATAGATACACGTATATATGTGTGCATATATGTACATATATGTATATGTGTGTATATTTTACATATATTTATATATACACATATATATGTGTATGTATATATAAACAGATTTTCTTTCTTCATTCATCCATCAGAGGACTGTTAGGTTGATTCCATAACTTGACTATAGTGAATAATGCTGCAATTAACGTGAGGGATGAGGGTGCAGGTATTTCTTCCTGATCCTGATTTTCATTACTTTTGATGTACACTGAGTTGTGTGTGTGTGTTTGTGTGTGTGTTGTAGAAGTAGTAGTGTGTGTGTGCTGTACTACTAGCAGCACTATTTTTAATTTTTTAAAAAAGTCTCCATATTCTTTTCCACAATGGCTATACAAATTTACATTCCCACCTTTTCATATATCTTTTGGCCATTTTAATTTCTTCTGTTTAGAAGTATTTATTTATGTCCTTTCCTCATTTTTTATTTGGTTATTTAATATACAGTTGTATGAATTCCTTATATGTTATGAATATTAACTCCTTGTTAGATATGTGGTTTGAACATTTTTTAATGTTTCTGTATGTTGCCCTTTCATTCTGCTGATTGTTTCTTGTGCTCTACAAAAATTTTTTAGTTTGATATAGTCCTACTTGTTTATTTTTGCCTTTATTGCCTGTGTTTTGGTGTCATGTCCAAAAAATCATTGCCAAGACCAATGCCAAGGAGTTTTTCTGCTCTGCTTTTTTTTTTCTAGGAGATTTTACATTTTCAGGTTTATATTTAAATCTTCAGTCTACTTTGAATTGTTTTTTGTGTAAGTAAAGTAAGGTTATACTTTCATTCTTTTGCTTATGAATATGAAGTTTTTCTAACGCATTTATTGAAGGGTTTATTTGTTTCCTATTTTGTAATCTTGGTGCCCTTGTCAAAGATTAGTTGATTTTTATTCACATGGGCTTATTTCTGGGCTCTCTATTCTGTTCCATTGGTCTATATGTGTGTTTTTATGCTAGTACCATAGTGTTTTGATTACTATACCTTTGTAAAATAATTTGAAGTTAGGAAGTTTGATGTCTCCATCTTTGTTCTTATCGATCAAGATTGTTCTGATTATTTGAGGATTTTTGTAGTTTCATATTTAGTTTCTAATTGCTGTTTCTATTTCTGTAACAAAATGCCATTGGACTTTTGGCAGAGATCACATTGAATCTGTAGATTGTTTTGAGTAGTATGGACATTTTAATAATATTATTTATTTATTTAATTTTTTTATTATACTTTAAGTTGTAGGGTACATGTGCACAACGTGCAGGTTAGTTACATATGTATACATGTGCCATGTTGGTGTGCTGCACCCATTAACTCGTCATTTAACATTAGGTATATCTCCTAATGCTATCCCTCCCCCCTCCCCCCTCATGGATATGAGATGTCTTTTAATATTTCTTTCATTAATGTTGTATCATTTTAGTGCACAAGCGTGTTATCTTTCTGGTTGAGTATTTTTGTTGTTTTTGTTGCTCCAATTAAATTTTACAAAAAGCTCAAATGTTCTCTGGGAGATGTCAAAAAGGAATTAGATATTTTATATTGTTGTGCGTTATGGTCTCCTTCCAATGGGAAAATGGAAATTTCTGGGAAAATATATTTTGCAATACTCTCTTCCCTCTCCCTATCTTTATTTCGCTGGTTGTGGGCCGCACATTTTAGTACCATCTGTGTAGCATGCCCTTCCTCATAGTCTGACTGCTTGTTCCCACTTTATTCCCTTGGACTTTTCTTTTACATTGTCCTTGATCTAATATTGCTATAATAGAATAAATAATAAAATAACTCTAAGTCAAGTAACAGTAGCCAGTAATGGCTTAGAATACTGTAGATTATCTTCTAGAGTTTTGGCAGAGCCAGCAAATCTGCGTATGATCTCCCCAAAAAGGTAATTAAGTAGAAAGTTCTTAGAAAACCAGGTAGATTTAAGAAAAGATATTATTTTAGCATTGCTTTTTAAAATTCACTTAGCAGCATATGTCTATTTTTTTTTTTTTTTTTTTTTTGACAGGGTCTTACTCTGCCACCCAGGCTGGAGTGCTATGGTGTGATCATGTCTCACTGCAACCTCAACCTCTCAAGGAATTTTCCCACCCCAGCCTCCCTAGTAGCTGGGACTATAGGCATGCACCACAACACTTATCTAATTTTTTTTTTATTTTTATGGATACAACGCCTTGTTATGTTGCCCAGGCTGGCCTCAAACTCTCAAGTTCAAGCAATCCTCCCACTTCCGCCTCCTAAAGTACTGGGATTACAGGCGTGAGCCACGTGCCCAGTCTCTTTTTTATTCCATTGTTTTTGTCCACTTTAGATACAGCTTGTCTCTGCTTCTGATGCTGCCCATGAGTTTCAAATCAACATAGTTCTTTTCTCATGTGTAACATAGCTGCTGCTTGTACTTAAAAAAATTAAAAGGCCTACTGCATTTGCTAGATACCAAACTGCTGTGGAAGGGGAGTTCAAAACATGAAAATCATACAAACTGAATCTTGCAGTAATTTTATTTGTAGTCATCAGATTAGAACTATTGGCTGCTGTGCCAGCTAATCAAGAGAGACCCAGTCACTTCTTTAAATCATGCTTCAACATTTCAGAAGAGAGAGAGAACAGATTCTTTGTTTAACAAAGTTGTGTAGCATTTTTCCTCCAGAAATACAATTTTCTGCTGAGAATAAAATACCTTCTTATCAGACTATAGTAACTAGCCTTGACCTCCCCCTTACCTATTTTATTGGACTATACCATAAAGTTTTAAAAAATTAATATATCCTTTTGCATTAAAGAAGTAGCATAGAATAGGAAAAAAAAATTTTCAGTTGTAGCAATATAGGAATGTCTTAAGGCTGAGCACAATGGCTTGTGCATATAGTCTAAACACTTTGGGAGGCCAAAGTGGAAGTATCACTTGCGGTCAGGAGCTTGAGACACAGTTGGGCAAAAAAGTGCATCCTGTCTCTACAAAAGATAAAAAGAAAAAATGAACAAGGCATTGTGTCCGGAATTGGTGGGTTCTTGGTCTCACTGACTTCAAGAATGAAGCCGCGAACCCTCGCGCTGAGTGTTACAGTTCTTAAAGGTGGTGTGTCCAGAGTTTGTTCCTTCTGATGTTCAGATGTGTTCGGAGTTTCTTCTTTCTGTTGGGTTCGTGGTCTTGCTGGCTCAGGAGTGAAGCTGCCGACCTTCGCAGTGAGTTTTACAGCTCTTAAGGCGGCGTGTCTGGAGTTGTTTGGTCCTCCTGGTGGGTTCGTGGTCTCACTGCCTTCAGGAATGAAGCTGCAGACCTTTGCCATGAGTGTTACAGCTCATAAAGGCAGTGTGGACCCAAAAGGTGAGCAGCAGCAAGATTTATTGCAAAGAGTGAAAGAACAAAGCTTCCACAGTGGGGAAGGGGACCCTCGCAGGTTGCCACTGCTGCCTTGGCGGCCTGCTTTTATTCTCTTATCTGGCCCCACCCACATCCTGCTGATTGCTCCATTTTACAGAGAGCCGATTGGTCTGTTTTACAGAGAGCTGATTGGTCCAGTTTGACAGGGTGTTGATTGGTGCATTTACAATCCCTGAGCTAGACACAAAGGTTCTCCACATCCCCACCAGAGTAGCTAGATATAGAGTGTCGATTGGTGCATTCACAAACCCTGAGCTAGACATAGGGTGCTGATTGGTGTGTTTACAAACCTTGAGCTAGATACAGAGTGCCGATTGGTGTATATACAATCCCTTAGCTAGACATAAAGGTTCTCCAAGTCCCCACCAGACTCAGGAGCCCAGCTGGCTTCACCCAGTGGATCCCGCACCGGGGCCGCAGGTGGAGCTGCCTGCCAGCCCCACGCCGTGCGCCTGCACTCCTCAGCCCTTGGGCGGTCGATGGGACCAGGCACCGTGGAGCAGGAAGCGGCACTCATCGGGGAGGCTCGGGCTGCGCAGGAGCCCATGGCGGTGGAGGGAGGCTCAGGCATGGCAGGCTGCAGGTCCCAAGCCCTGCCCTGTGGGGAAGCAGCTACAGCCAGGCGAGAAATTGAGCACAGCAGCTGCTGGCCCAGGTGCTAAGCCCCTCACTTCCCGGGGCTTGCAGGCCGGCTGGCTGCTCCAAGTGTGGGGCCCGCCAACTCCACCCCCTCCCAGAACTCGCGCTGGCCCGCAAACGTGGCACGCAGCCCCAGTTCCCACCCGTGCCTCTCCCTCCACACCTACCCACAAGCCGAGGGAGCTGGCTCTGGCCTTGGCCAGCCCAGAGAAGGGCTCCCACAGTGCAGCGGCAGGCTGAACGGCTCCTCAAGCGCGGCCGGAATGGGCGCTGAGACTGAGGAGGCACCGAGAGTGAGCAAGGGCTGCGAGGGCTGCCAGCACTCTGTCACCTCTCAGCCTGGTGGCACATGCCTGTAGTCCCATCTAATCGGGTTGCTGAAGCAGGAGGATAGCGTGAGCTGGAGTTTGAGTCTGCAGTCACCCATGATCGTGCCACTGTACTACAGCCTGGGCAACAGGGTGAGACCTTGTCTCAAAAAGAAATGAATAAATAAAATAAAATTTAAATTTAAAATATAAGAAAGTAAGTAAATAAATAAAGACAATAAGAAAGTGTTAAAATACAAAACGTGAACACTATGTTAGGACCCAATGCCCTATCAACTGTTAGCTGGAGGAACAAGTTGTGTCCTTTTGGAATTGCACACAGTAAGCACGACCTTATTACAACAAAAAAGCAAACCAAATAAAAACCAGTATTTTTCTTTGCAATGAATGATATTAGAATTATAGACTATCTCAAGATAAAACAAAAAAGCAAAACATGATCCCTCTTCTTACCATATACAAAACTTAGCTTGAGATGAATCATAACTTTAAATGTAAAAGGTGAAGATTTAACTCAGCAATCCTATTACTGGGTATATACCCAAAGGATTATAAATCATTCTACTATAAAGACACATGCACTTGTATGTTTATTGCAGCACTATTTACAATAGCAAAGACTTGGAACTAACCCAAATGCCCATTAATGATAAAATAGATAAAGAAAATGTGGCACATATACACCATGAAATACTATGCAGCCCTAAAAAGGAATGAGATCGTGTCCTTTGCAGGGACATGGATGAAGCTGGAAGCCATCATTCTCAGCAAACACAGGAACAGAAAACCAAACACCATATGTTCTCACTCATAAGTGTGAGTTGAACAATGAGAACACATGGACACAGGGATGGAAACATCACACACTGGGGCCTATAGGGGAGTGGGAGGCAAGGAGAGGGAAAGCATTAGGACAAATACCTAATGCATGCGGGGCTTAAAACCTAGATGACAGGTTGATAAGTGCAGCAAACCACCATGGCACATGTATACCTATATAACAAACCTGCACGTTCTGCACATGTATCCTGGAACTTAAAATAAAATAAAAAAAAAAAGTAAAAGGTAAAATAACAAAATGTCTAAAGAAAGCATAGGTACCTGGCAAGGTGGCTCATGCCTGTAATTCCAGCTATTCAGGAGGCTGAAGCAAGAGGATCCCTTGAGGGGGAATTTTAGGCTGCCTTGGACCGTGATCACAACATTTCACTCCAGCCTGGGAGACAGCAAAACAATGTATCTAAATATATATAAGACAGTATCTTAGTGAACTCGGCTTAGAATAGACAACAATTTCTTGAAGAAGGCACATAAAATATGGATAAATGTACTTTAAAATTGTGAGCATCTGTTCATCAAAAAACATCATTGTGAGTGACAATATTCATGATACAAATAAGTGGCAAAGACTCATTTCCATAAAATATAAAGTATTCTGACAAATCTATAATAAAAAGTCACACACACACACAAAATTAAAAAAAGAAATTGGTAAAAAGCTTGAATAGCCACTTTACAAAAGAGGAAATTCAAATGACCAATGACAGTAAGGAAGAGACTCACCATCATTATGCATCTGAAATGCAAATTTAAAACACAGTGAGATACCATGACTGAAAAGACTAATGACATCAAGAGTAAGCTAGTGTTTATAGCAGCTAGAACACCCATACTTTGAAGGTAAGTGTATCAATTTGTATAATCACTTAGAAAAATTGTTAGTAGCTATCTGTTAATGCTAAAAATATAAGAAATGTTCAGTATTTCTTTTACTAAGCATAGATCAAAAGGAAATCCATTAATAATAAATACATATTAAGCATTAAATTTTAAGAACCAGACAAAGGATTTGTATAATAATGCCCATGACAACTTTATTTACAATAGCCCCAAACGAGAAAAAAACCCAAGGATTCATCAGCAGTACAGTGAATGAATAATTATGTTATTGTACTGGGACCTTAAATAGTAATCAAAACAAAGTACAGCTATGTACCATAACATAGGTAACTATATCGTCTAATGGTGGGCACAACAGCCAGACACAAAGAAAATACATTCTGTATCATTCCATTTATTTATTTATACTTAATTCAAAAATAGAAAGAAAAAAGGTCATGCTAATAAAAATGAGAAGAATGGTTCACTCTGAATGAGGATTCTTGACTTGGTGGTGCACAAAGAAATTTTCTGGATGTTAACTTTTTTCTGCAACTGAAGTTGAATGACGGCTTCATAGGCAAATGCATTTATTCATTTATTTATTTAAGATGGAGTCTTGCTCTGTCACCCAGCCTGGAGTGCAGTGGCGCTGTCTCAGCTCACTGCAACCTCTGCATCCTGGGTTCAAGCCATTCTTCTGCCTCAGCCTCCTGAGTAGCTGGGACTACAGGTGCACGCCACCACGCCTGGCTAATTTTCTTTGTATTTTTAGTAGAGATGGGGTTTCACCATATTGGCCAGATTGGTCTCGAACTCCTGACCTCGCGATCTGCCTGCCTCAGCCTCCCAAAGTGCTGGGATTACAGGTATGAGCCACCACATCCAGCCAGGCATATGCATTTATGAGCATTCACTGAGGTATGAACTTCCAATTTGTACACTTTATTACATGTATGCTTTGTGTCAATACAAAGGTGACATTGAAAAACCGGGGCTACATCTGTATTTTTCTTTGGGCAGGGAGCCTTAGTGCTTATTCTTATCAGTCTGCATGAGTAAACCCCACCCCGTTTGGAATTAATCTGAGTGCCTTATTGGAGCTCAAATGCCAGGCTTCTTTCTGGTGGGATCTCCCAGAGTCATAATCAATGATTATGACTTGATTGAAATTCTTAAATAGGAGGTTTACACCTCAGAAGTTGAAATCTTACACTTGAGTTTCAGACTCTCTTGAATCATTACAGTGGCCAGTGGGTAAAGATTTCTGTTCCCTTCGCACTAGTGTGCTATGGCTCTAAAGGAATTATTAAAATGCAGGCATAACCTAGTTATCAGATAGTGGCCAGTGGGTAAAGATGTCTGTTCCTTTTGCACTAGTCTGTTATTGAGAGGTGAAGCCAGCTGGGCTTCTGGGTCGGTGGGGACTTGGAGAACTTTTGTGTCTAGCTAAAGGATTGTAAATGCACCAATCAGCACTCTGTGTCTAGCTAAAGGATTGTAAACACACCAGTCAGCACTCTGTAAAAACGCACCAATCAGCACTCTGTAAAATGGACCAATCAGCAGGATGTGGGTGGGGCCAAATAAGGGAATAAAAGCTGGCCATCCCCACAGCTGGCAGCGGCAACCGGATCAGGTCCACTTCCAGGCTGTGTAAGCTTTGTTCTTTCATTCTTCACAATAAATCTTACTGCTGCTGACTTTTTGGGTTTGCACTACCTTTATGAGCTGGAACACTAACCGTGAGATTTGCACTTTCATTCCTGAAGTCAGTGAGACCACAAACCCTCTGGGAGGAGCAAATGACTCCGGACGCGCCACCTTTAAGAGCTGTGACGCTCACTGGGAAGGTCTGTGGCTTCACTCCTGAAATCAGCGAAGACCATGAACCCACCAGAAGGCAGAAACTCCGGACACATCTGAACATCCGAAGGTACAAACTCCGGACACACTATCTTTAAGAGCTGTAACACTCACCGTGAGGGTCCGGCGGCTTTGTTCCGAAGTCAAGGAGACCAGGAACCCACCAGAAGGAGGAAACTCTGGACACATCTGAAGGAACAAACTCCGGGCACACCATGTTTAAGAGTTGTAACACTCACCGGGAAGGTCCGCGGCTACATTCTTGAAATCAGCCCGACCAAGAACCCACCGGAAGGAACCAATTCCAGACACACTGTGGCTCTAAAGGAATTATTAAAATGCACGCATAACCTAGTACAAGACATGTTACATGCCACTTGTGTAGTAAAGTACTATCTGTGCAATAATACATCAAAAGGCTTTTGTCTGTTTTTAAAATTTATTTGTACCTGGATTTCTTTCTGAAAGCTGGGTTCTTAAACTATACAGCCTTGCATATATAAATACAAATAAATACCAAACACAAATACTTTCTTTTCTTGGCTTCCAGGAACCTCATATATTCATGCAGATATAATTGGTCTGGGACCTGAGTCAGAAGAGTATATTTTAATGAAACCAATTTAAATTCCCTTTTTGGTGTATTATGTGCATAGCAAGCAGTTGCTGGGAAAGACGTGACATCACGGTTTTAGGAGCTGTAGATGCAAAATATCAGAATCAATTCCACATAGATTTCATTTATTTTTCAGAAGAGAGCTCAGTTTGTACTTATATTGATTTTGTTGACATTTGAAATGTTGCCTTTATATGATGTGCATAGACTATATATACCGAAGTATTGCTACACATCTAAACTTCCAAGGAAAGATAAAAAGATAACATTGTCAATCCTGTCATTCTTCCGTTATTTCCATTCTTTATTTACATACTATGGGTCCCCTGTGACAAAAGTCCTTTGGAAAAAGATAGTCATAGGGAGAGTGAAAAGGAAGGCCACTATTGAAAGGGAGAGTCTCTAAGGAAACCGCATACATTGATAAGAAATCAGTGAAGAACAAGAAATCAGAGGGTAATAGATGTAGAGAAGAAAAATACTGTGATATTAGTCACCGTTATTTATTTTTTTTTTAGATTACAAAACATTTCTGAATTCATAAAATGTTTTCATCTTCATTATCACTCTCTGACATTGGATAAGGAGGAGGAAGAGGGCACTAAAATGAGTTACAAAAGAGAAAGAAGAGAGGAGAGAGAAAGGAAGCAAGAAGTGAGAGCAGAGAGAGAAAGAGGAAGCAGAGAAGGGCAGAGATGGACAAAGCTTTAAAGGAAAGGTGACAGAATTCAGGCTGAGGGTGTGTGGTCTTTGAGGTCCACAAAGAACCCCGCCCTCGGAAAGGCTCTAGCACTTAGTTTGGTTTCTTGTCTTCTCCCTCTCAACAAGCTTAACCATTTTGAACAAGAAGCCTTGCACTTTCACTATATGGGCCCTGCAAATTGTGTGGTTTGTCTTGGGTAGAATGTTAGCAAAAGACATCAAAAAACAAAGAGCCAGAAGAAACACTTCCTATTTGCACACAAACTACAGTCACAAGCTGTATTGCTGAGCAAAAAATGCCACTGTGTCTGTAGTTCAGTTTTCAGGGGAAGGGGAGAGATTACAATCAGGTTCTGAAAAGGAAGGAGGAGGGGGAAATGAAGGAGCTATAGTATAGAGAAGACATACTAGATCCACATTTAGGATGCTCAGCTTTCTCAGTTAATTTCTGATTTGGGATATACTGCTCCAGATATTTCTGTCTGTTGTTTTGAATAGGGGGTGGGAGTGGTATAGGTGATGATGGCAGTGCTATGATTGATGTAGGAGAACCTTGATTACTGTTTACCTGTAGTGTTAAAAAAATACAAAAAGCCTTTTATATCTCTGCATCTAACCCTCCTTTATTTGTTGATGTGAAAGTACTTGGTAGTAAGCTCAAACCAAGGAGGAGAGGTTGACTGAATTCTTAATCAGGACAAGGTTGCAATTCACAAAATATGCAGTTATGGTAGTATCTCAAGAATAAATGTAAAACTCTCAAATAGATTGAATGGAATAATCTGAAACAAAATTAGCAATTGTGCTGGCAAGGTATATTTATTTAAATTCAGATATTTTGAGGGAACATAAATCTTAGTCTATTGTAGAAGCTCCTTCCTTTTCTTTTATTTGCCTGATCCTCTTTCTCCCTACTTGTCTTTGCTGAGCCATCAGAAACTACACAGATAATAAAAGCAAATGATGTTTAGCAGATGCCTGAGGCTGCAAAATAAAAAAAAAAAAGTCTCAGACACAAGGTAGAATCAATTGAACCTAACTTGTTATTTGCAGTTGGGAGTGATTTCTTATTATGGGAAAAATGGGAGAGGTGAGGACCTAAGAGGGATAAATTCTTAATTCAGGAAATTGAAAGGAATAGGAGTTAATAAAGATGAAAGATAGAAAGTAAGGATAGTCAGTATGATATGGACCTGAAGCATCCTACTGTTCCCTGAGGTTCTGATTTAGTCCTGGACAAAAAGGAGCAAGTTGGATAAATCAGGAACACAAACGAAGTTTGCCTTGGAAAAACAGTCTGAATCTTGAGTAAAAAAGCATTTAAAATTGGGAGGCAGCGGTGAGGAGGGTGCTAGGGTCTGAATGGTTATATCCACCCCTCAAATTCATATGTTGAAATTCTCACCCTCAAGGTGATATTATTAGGAGGTTGGACTTTGGGACATGATTAGGTCATGAGGGTGGTCTTCTATTGACTGGAAATAGTGCTCCTGTAAAAGAGACTCCAGAGTGCTAGCTCATTCCTTCCACCATGTGAGGAAATAGCCTTTTATGAACCAAGAAACAAGCCCTCTCTAGACACCAAATCTGCCAGAGCCTTGGTTTTGGACTTTCCAGCTTCTAGAACTGTGACAAATAAATTTATAAACTACCCATTTGTAAACAAAACATCTACAACATTTTGTTATAGCAGCCCTAATGGATGAAGATTGGGATGAGTAACGGATAGGTCTTTATTTTACAGTATAATAATAACCAAATTATAATTAAAAGAATGAATGTACAGGATGTTCACAAACAGTTATCAGATCCAAATCCATTAAATTTGTTTAAAGATAAAAACATATATAAATTAAAAAAGAGACATACCGCTAAGTCTCTGATAGTTGTATTGGGTAGCTGAATAAGATATGGGCAGATTTGGCAGGGATCAGTGTAGAGAAATTACAGGTGTAATTTTAAGAACCCCCAGGGGACAGAGCATATTTTGCCCCAAGCTCATGTTCATTTGAGCACCTTGCACAAAAAAATAAGGATCAAATGAAAGATAAAATTTTAAAGGTTTTAAAGGTTTAGCAGAGACATTTGTAAAAATATAATAACTGCAGTTAGAATCCAGAGACCAGTGCTTCCAATCTTGCAAATGTCTAAATTTATGAATTCACAGGAAGAAAGAAGCATTTAGAATACTTTCACTGAGAGAGGAGTTAATAAGACCAAGTAGGCCAGGCACAGTGGCTCATACCTCTAATACCAGCACTTTGGGAGCCTGAGGCAGGCGGATCACAAGGTCAGGAGTTTGAGACCAGCCTGGCTAACATGGTGAAACCCCGTCTCTAGTAAAAATACAAAAATTAGCCGGGTGTGGTGGCACACACCTGTAATCTCAGCTACTCAGGAGGCTGAGGCAGGAGAATTGTTTGAACCCAGGAGGCGGAGGTTGTAGTGAGCCAAGATCATGCCCCTGCATTCCAGCCTGGGCAACAGACTGAGACTCCATTTCAAACAAAACAAAACAAACAAACAAACAAAAAACACCAAATAGATGTGTGACAAGTTCTCCATGCCTCTGTTTTCTTTCTTTCTGCCAACAGCAGCTAAGTCTCTGCCTTGGTACTGGCCAAACAAAGCAATGTAGGTCTTGTAGATTTTGTGTCGCTAATGAGGTGACCCAGTGCTATCTGTTCCCATCTTCAAGAAACCCAGTATGTGAAAACTCAAATGAACTAGATATATTGGATTGTTCATTCTTGATCACATGGACCTACCATTAGAAGACATCACCATCAACCATATCCTTCAAGGAAATACTCTCTTCTCATGACAACCATCACATATGGTGGTGAGCTGTGCAAATCACATCAGAAAATAATGATTAAAACACATTTATTAGTTATATTCTATGGATTATCTACTATGCAATCTAAGTACTTAGGAGCACTGAGCTGGCTCAACCCACTACACTGGAAGGAATCCCAGGATTCTCTAGTGATGAAGTAATCCAGATTAAATCTAAATAAGGCTCTTTTGTCAGAGCAAAGGATCTAAAAATTGAGAACAGAGAATCTTGAACATTACATTTGGGAACTTTAATGCAAATTTGAAGGGAGCGTATTCAGGGCTTATTTTCTTACTGAGTATTTATTGATGAATGAAAGTTTATAGTCAACTGCGTGGCTATTGAGACACACTTCTCTATATATTTTTTTCTTTTTCTCTAAACTGTCTTACTATGTATGCTGCAAGAATATATCCCAGTTTGCTCTTTATCCATTGCATTTGCTGTGAGTAACTTTGAGGAATGAGGTAATGTCTCTCCACAGAAAAAAGCAGGCTCGTTACCAGGCTGCTATAAAGGAGTGGGTTCCCTCGGTTCCATGTTCTCTGTAACACAACAACACACTGTATGTTCAGACAGCCATCTGGGCCAAGGGTTTTCAACTGCAGCTATTTTGCATCCCAGGGGCATGTGAGAATGTCTAGAACATTCGGTATGATGATTTTGGGGAAAAAAATATATATATATACACACACACACATATATATATACATATATATACATATATATACATATATACACATATATACACATATATACATATATATACATATATACACATATATACATATATACATATATACACACATATATACATATATACATATATACATATAGTGTGTGTATGTGTATATATATACATATACATATATACATATAGTGTGTGTATGTGTATATATATACATATACATATATACATATACATATATACATATACATATATAGTGTGTATGTGTATATATATATACATATACATATATAGTGTGTGTGTATATATATACATATACACATACACACACTATACACACACATATACACACACATATATACGTATGTATGTACACACACATAAGGTATGTATGTATGTATATATGTATGTATGTGTGTATATATAGAGATAAAAAAGAGGAAATTAAGATTGAGAGAGAAAGAAATAGCATAAATGTATAATCTTGTGATTTATAGCAGAAATGGATGCTACGAATGCCTGCTGCCCTTAATCTCTGCAGTGTTTGGTGGTCTGAATCTGATACCTTAGAACGCCAAGATGCTATTTCTGTGCTGAGCCTGGCCACCAGTGCTGCAGCCATTCAGAACTTTCTTGAGGCCCAGACAACTCTTGCCTTGAAAATTAAGGAAAATCACTGAACTCAAAATTGGGTATTTTATTGTTTCCCTAGATAGTTTGTTATTTTAGTTTCAGGTTTCTCTGTTATATTTTGTTAAGAAATAAGTGAGAAAACGTAAGTAATTGCTTAAAGTTCTTATGATAGTTAATTTTATGTGTCAGCTTGACTGAGTCACATAGTGCCCAGGTATGTGGTTAAGCATAATTCTGGATCTTTCTGTGAGGATGTTTTTGGATGAGGTTAACATTCAAATTGATAGATGGAGGAAAGCAGATGGCCTTCCATGATGTGGGTGGGCCTCAACAAGTCAAAGGCCTGAACAGAAAAAAAGGCTGACCTTGCCCCAAAGAAGAGAGAGTTCTGCTCTTGATGGCTGATGGCTTTTGAATTGAGGCATAGGCTTTTCCTGGATCTACAGTAGCTTCTGGCCATTGGACTCAAAGTGGGGTGTGTGTGTGTGTGTGTGTGTGTGTGTGTGTTTACACACACCATCTTTATGCATTTTTAAAAGTTAAATATTTTTAGTTGAATGATCTTTGTCCTTATGCTATATGCTCTCCATTTTTTCACATGCCTTGATGACAGTACATATCTCATAATACTGTAACTATTTATATATAAAATATGAGAGCAAACTGTGTTTTATTTACCAATACATCTCCAAGGTTGTTGATATCTGGTGAACACATGCATTAATGGTTTTGAATGATGCCAGTATGAATGAATATGTAATTACTTAAAAACAAATTAATGCCTGAATTATAAATCTTACGTTATTCTTTAAAAAGTGCAAATAATGCCTATAGCAATGATAATTACATCAAGGGTAAAAGGAATAGATAATTTTCATTTAATTCTAAGCTGAGAAAGATAGAATAAATGTCATTATCAGTCTACATTTTGAAAAACATGTTTGAGGCCGGACACGGTGGCTCATACCTATAATCCCAGCACTTTGGGAGGCCAAGGTGGGTGGATCACCTGAGGTCAGGAGTTTGAGACCAGCCTGACCAACATGTAGAAATCCCATCTCTACTAAAAATACAAAATTGGCCGGGTGTGGTGGTGTATGCCTGTAATCCCAGCTACTCAGAGCTACTCAGGAGGCTGAGGCAGGAGAATCGCTTGAACCCTGGAGGCAGATGTTGCGGTGAGCTGAGATCACACCATTGCACTCCAGCCTAAGCAATAAGAGGAAAACTCCACCTCAAAAAACAAACAAATAAATAAACAAAACATGTTCTGCTGCCCACTCTTCCAGCAAACACAACAAATATAATAGCTTATAGTATAATTTTTTCTCGTTTTCTCCATTCTGAAGAATATATATGGTGAAAACTTGAAGAATAAATTCAACAATTTTCCCAATATTTTTCTCAAGATTAGCTTTTTAATCCTTGCACTTTTTCCAAAATTTTACATTAAAGAGATAAATAAGATGTTTCCACTCCCCTACTTAACACCCAAAAGGATCTTCCCATCACATTTAGGAAAAAAAGAAGGAGAAGGGAGAGGAGTAAGAGGTGTGGGAGAAAAAGGCAGCCTGTACATCCTGCTTTAATTGTTATCAAATCTGGATTTTATATTAAGATAAATCCAGACTGCTTTAAAAATATAACTGTGCCCAGAGCCTGACCAGAGCAGTCAAATTATATTCTCTAGGGAAAAGACCTGAGCATTCACTTTTTTATGGCTCTCCAGAGTAGAAAGCCATTTTCCTACGTGACCTGGCTGTAGCATGCCTTTCTGAATTTCTCCGCTAACATTCTCTTCCTTGCTTGTCTGACTCCAGCCCTACTGGCTGTTTCTGGCCACACTTGTTCCCATCCAGGAAGTTGCTCTTGGTGTCGTCTTTACCTTCCATTGCTCATTTTCTCCTGTTTCTGTTCTCTGCTCAAGAAAACTTCTTCTGGACCCCAATCAAAGTTGAACTCTTGCCTTCCTTCATTTTCTTCATAGCACTTAGCAGTCTGAATATTTTTACAGATAGGTCTGTTTTGCTTCCATCTCTCTCACCAGAACATAAGGTTTGTCAAGGAAGAGACATTTCTTGTTTAGTCCTTGCCTGGTCTTTAGGGCATAAAATTGTGATTGAAATATAAGCACTTAATAAATAAAGCAGAATGGAGCAAAATGTAAGTTGGAAGTCCCAATCCAGATAGGTGATATATGAGAAAATGTCTGATGACCTGAATTGTTCCCTCTTCTCAGATAATAATCTACTTGGCAGTAACTATGGGGATCCCTAGAGCTCAGGAAATTTGTAACTTGGGCCTTGCAGCAGGAACCAATTTTGTAGGAATGTAGACTACTTTCTGGTGTGGGCAGCTTCTGATAAAGATAACCTGTGGCAAATATTTGATAAATAATCCAATATCATAGCTTTCAGCTTCCTCTACCACCAAGTGGAAAATGAGACTCCTCTCATAATTGCCTTCCATCAAGAGCTGGGGTAAATATTTTAGGAAGACATTTCTCATTGAGGTATGGATTAAAAAGAAAAATAATAAGTATGGAGTTTTGGAGTAACATGATCTAGAGACAGGGTTTGACTTCACTATTTCCTAGCATAATCTCTTAGTTAAATACGCATGGCTGATATGATCAATGTATAGCAGGTTTGGCTTATTAGGAATATCGCTAACAAGGAGTGACAGAAGGAGGCGTAGAGTAATCTGCACCTGGCCTTATGGAGTCTAAGATAACTGTGGATCCCATCCTGACACAGTTCCCTTTGGGAATCTGTCCTGCTCTTTGTTTTGTTCCCAATACCTGTTTTTATTCCTGTTGCCTGTGATTGGTGTCAGATGGTGCTGTGCATACCTGCACACTCATTAGCATTTCCCTGTCGGTTTGCTCTAAATACTAGCAGATTGAAAGCAATGACACTATCTGCCAAGCTCCAGGTATAATTTTTACGACAGCACTGGCTTCTTTAAATAGCTTTAGCTTTACACAGATAACAGTAAATGTTTCTTTGCTTTCAATTTTTTTAACTGAATCACAAGGATTTCTGATGATGGTATAGTAGCTAGAATTTGCCACGATGGTGCTTCTTAAAGGCAACAGTGCCTCTTCTTTCTTTGGAAGTGTGTGCATTGTCTTCTCTTTACGTCAGGGGTTTCAGCTCCAATGTCTTCAGTCACATTAAACTACTTGCTATAGGAAGCACTTATCAGATGAGCAACCATTGACTTGGCATAGTCATTGTTTATAGAAAACCAGTTTCAAAAAATAACTCATCTGTTTTTGTTTCCTATCAGTTTGAGCAAAATATGAACTGATAAGCTTTGAATTTAAACTGTTGCACCAATTGAAGCGGCCTTAAAATATCTTAGTTATGATGGAAACTGACCCCTTTGTTAAAATATTTTGCCCAACTACTTTCACATACTTCTTTCATTACCACATCAATCATTGTGATTTGTCATATTATGTCAGTGAAGCAAATAGAGAAGTGTTTTGCCTACAACGTCTGAGCTACTGAATGACATAGATCGCAGTTCTCAAAAATCTCATGACAGTAACCCCTCCTCTAAAAACAGTACTTCTTTTACCCTGCATTTGATTGAAAATGTTCCCAAGTTGACATGTTTTAACAAGATTTAACTCTCAGCCACACTGATATCTGTTGAATCACACTTCTGTTTTTCTATGTCTTGACACTCTCTCAGACAGTAAGTAACCTCATATCCTTCTATCACAGCCCCTCAACCAATGCCATCACAATATTTACCCTTTCTCAGTTCCATTCTCTTCAATTTAAGTTCTTTTTTTTGAATTTGGCAGATAACCTAGTAAATCCTAGTTGTTATGTTCACCAGAGAGAACTACCTTTTATTTTCATCACTGTACTATCTTTGTAATCTATGCATATTTCATTGAAAATTAATAAACTGAAATATAAGTAGGTCCCATAAGTCAGACTTATACAACCTAAAAGACAACCCACTACATCCCAGTTCTACCACACATTAACTTTATTAACTTTCTCCAACTATCATTTCATTTGTGGTTGGATCCTTAAATCATTATGATTCCATATAATAATATTAATGATAATACATAAGTGTACTGTAACAATAACTGAGAAGGACACTAAAAATTATATACAGAAAAGCACAATATTAATTTAAAAGAATCAAATGTATAGGATTGTCAATTTCTTTAATTCTCATTTCTACTATACTTAGAGTCTTACATCACTGCTTATATTATATAATTTATTTACTAGGTTGAGCTTGGTCCTACTCTTCACACCAGGTGGTTGGGATAATTACTGAGGGAGACTGAACTTCCCTCTGGATTAGAGAAGAACCTAGCATTGTTCTGACCATAAAGGGAATGATCAGGCCAAAACATGTAATTACCCTTAATTGCAGAGAAATAAGTATCTCTCCAATCTTGTTTCATCTCCATATTAGCAGCAACTCAAAATTTGTCAAGTTTGCATACTTCAGGTTTATAACCAAGATTCACTGTGACTTTTAGATCCAGACTTTAGCAAGCAATTATGTCTTCAGAAAAGCACACATGATGGGCACACAGTTCCTTAGAGTTTATCTTTTAAATTGGAAAAAAATAACTCTAAAGTAGATGTACACTCCAGATACCTTGAGTAGTGATTTTCAAGGGGTTTAATGTGATGGAACAGAGTTAGAAGAAACCAATGCTGTTGGTTTAATTTGAGCTGTTGATTTCTTTTTAGTATTATCAATTGAATTGATCTTCTCCCTTGTTCTTCTATAGTACCTTTGTTACATCCCCAATAATCAAGTGAATTTATCATGCAGAAGAAACATTTGCAAAGGCTGTGTTTTTTTTTTTTTACCTTTGCCTAATATAAAAAGGCATCATGAGGATTTCAACAGGGTAAACAGGTGAATGTGAGAGGAATAATAGATGCTTGGAGAAGTCAGAATGAAGACTACAGGGTAACTTCACGGGTAGAAAAGTAGTGACTCCTGCTCACAAGCTATAATTTGGCAGAGACTCCAAGGTTAATCTAACAAAGAGAAACACCAATATTAGCTTTAAAAAGTCCCAGAAATTTAAACAAAGTTTACTGTGTTTGATTGAAGCAAGATATAGTAAAATATAAATCTAATACCTGGCAGGCTTATTGCATTGGTGCAGACTAAATGAATATGTTATATAATTGAATGAAGTTGAAGTATTTGAAAAGTTTATCGGGTTATTTATAAAAAGAGCAAGCATCATTAGAATCTATGGAGCTGAATTATAAGAAATCAGATTTGGTTCACAGTAGAGAAGAGGTATTTAAGGTTTAAACATCCGTGAGTTGCCTAACTACGCTTGGAGAAGGAAATGTATTGTTGCCGAGGTAAGGAGTGGGTTCTTTGTCACTATAAGTATTCAGCCTACAATACATATTAAAGAAAAACAGTGTCCAAAAAAAAAAAACCCCAAAGTGTGAACCAAAAATGTGAGCCACGTAATGTAATTATAAATTTTCTTATTGTAAAATTTTTCTTTATCTTTATAAAAAGAATAGAAGTTAAAATGAATGACATGTTATATTTGACAATTCAAAATATACAAAATATTATCATTAAACTATAATAAATATAAAAATGAGCTATTTTATATTTTTATATAAGCATTGGAAATTCCATGTGAATTTCAGTTACCCTTGAAATGTGGATTAGCCATGGGCTTAGTGGCTACTGAATTGGACAGTGCAGTTAAAAGTTTTCCACATTGAGTGAGAGATCTATTCTCTAAGGTGAATCCCATTTTAATATTTATTTATTCCATTATTTGATCAAATCTTATTAGGTGGACTTCCAGCTGGGTGGAGCAACTACAATGACGACTTCATTCGCAGGGCACAGGGGAGGGAAGTCACAGGCAGGGCATTGCTCATTTTCAGGAGAGAAGGACAACAACCTCGAACCAAATAAAAACAAGTTCAACTAACAGAAGTTGGTGAGACAAAGGAATGAAACAGTTAAATCCGTATTTACTGGCTTTATGCACTGCATTATGGATAAATTGAAGTCCGTGCTCTCACAGATCATAATATTAAATATGTGAAAGCCAGGCATAAATGCATATTGACAACTAACTAATATTAATCAGTGTAAGAGAGTTCCAAAGAAGCTCTCTAGAGGAAGAGTTCTGTAGATCTTAAATATGTATATATATATAATACTCAGCATTTAGAGGAACCTTCCCGATGAAAGCAGTGGGCCTGAGCTGAACCTTGCAGGATGTTCAGTATGTGCACAAAAGCAGAGGGGAATGTAGCAGAAGCAATGAAGAGAGAATGTCCAAAGAACTTCTTCATTTTTTCTGTGTGTGGTAAACATAAAATAAAGCAGTCTGGATTGCAAGGATGCTATTACTATTTATTTTTTATGTGTCACAGGAAGAGCTATCTCATTTTGGCCACGGGATTCTGTCAGACTTAACAATCACCCAAAGGAGGATGAAAAAAAAATGTCTAATTCTTGTACCTTTCCTTCACTGTTTCATCCTACTTCTATGCTCACTGATAAAAATGGGCATGTTGGAAGCTCGGTGCAGAGGGTGAAGGACTGATTAAAATTAGATCACTATATCAAACAGCTGCACTGAATGTTACTTGGCCAAAGAAATAGAGACCAGGATGAAAATAGAGGTCAAATGAACAGGCTGCATTTCTAATGGGGAGAATAAAACAACATGCCTCGAGTTAGATAGATTGAGTTTAAGATTTCAAATGTTCTAAAAGAAGAGGAGAGGCAGTAAGCAGTATGGGGTCAAATGGAGCTATTGTCACTTGAGTTGGCAATCAGATACTGTTTTAATGGTCACGGGATATGAGAACTGAGTTGTTTGAGAACAGGTTAAGAAATAAGAACAAAAGATGCTTCTGTTTGTCCAGGTCAAAACTTTGGTCTTATTCTTGACTCCCTTTCTTCTTTGACACCTTACACCCAACTCATGATGAAATCCTATCGGATCTACTGTTAGAATATACCCGCAATGTGACCTCTTTTTACCACTTAATGCTGTTACTATTATGACCCAGTACACCTTCATCTCAGACCTCAGTCTTTGCAACAGCGTTCCAACTAGGCCCCTTCTCTCCTTCTCTCTTTGCTGTCTCTTCCCAGCAGAGCAGAATCCTTTGGAAACATGAGTCAGATTTTATCATTTTTCTGTTCAAAATATTTTCGGTTTTCCCATTCCACTAAAAAAACACAAATGGGTATTTCTGCTCTGATCTAAAATCTCTTCCTTGATCTCCCTCCCTCTAACTCCTGCAACTGCCTCTCTGATTTTATCTACTTTATTTTCTTACTTGTTCACTCTGCACGCTGGGCTTATTGTTGCTGCTCGAAAACTCCAGCTCCTGCTTGCCTACAGAATTTTGAACTTGCCGTGTCCTCTATCTGATATGCCATTCCCTAAGCTACACAATGACATGTTCTCTCATTCCGTTCTCATCTTCTCAGTGAGTACCTCTCTAACCACCTTGTTGAAAAATTTTATCTTTCTCCCTGATACCGTCAATTCCTTTTTCATGTTTAATTATTTCCTCCTTATACTGTATGTCTATCTACTAACATACTGTATGTAATTATTTATTTATCATGTTCACTGTCTGCCTGTGACTCTGAAATATAAACTCAAAGAATGACAAGATTTTTGCTTTTTTATGTCCTGCCATATTCACAGTACATAAATAGATTTTTGGCACATAATGGGCGTTCAATAAATAAATTCTGAATAAATGAATGATAGAATTGATATTGCAGAGGGATCCAAAATATGTACATGTCTGAAAATAGTAGGTGGTAGATAAAATACCATATAACTGTACAAGACAGAGTGAACCTTAATATCAACTATAGCCTAGAGTTAATAATAATGCATAAATATCAGTTTATTAATTATAACAAATGTACCACAGCAATGCAAGATGTAAATAATATAGGAAACTTCAAGCAGTTGTGGGTAGGGGTGTAGAGTTATATGGAGCTGTATATATTATCTGCTCAATTATTCTGCAAATCTAAAACTATACTAAAAAATAAAGTCTAGGCCGGGCGCGGTGGTTCATGCCTGTAATCCCAGCACTTTGAGAGGCCGAGGCGGGCAGATCACGAGGTCAGGAGATCAAGACCATCCTGGCTAACATGGTGAAACCCCGTCTCTACAAAAAATTAGCCGGATGTGGTGGCAGGTGCCTGTAGTCCCAGGTACTCAGGAGGCTGAGGCAGGAGAATGGCATGAGCCCCGGAAGCGGAGCTGGCAGTGAGCCGAGATCACGCCACTGCACTCCAGCCTGGGCGACAGAGCGAGACTCCGTCTCAGAAACAAAACAAAACCAGAAGTCTAACGGTTATGTTTTAAAAAGAGAAAAAAGAAAAATAAATCCACTTTCATGTATGTAGGGATTAGAGGCTGGGGAATATTTCTAGTAGCAATAGTTTTAAAGACTAACAATAGGTATAGTTTGACTGTTTATTGCTAATGTTATTGTAGCAGTTGTAAATTGACCCTTATCATAAATGGCCTGGCACATTGTAAAGTAAATCTCACGGCTTTTATGTATGCCAGAAATGGGTTCTCAACATGTAAATGAGTTCCCTTACTTGGTAGTACAAATCCCATAAGATTCTATTGACACAATAAATCAAGCAGTGCATTATTAGGAAATACTGGAATTACAGTGGTTGTTTGTTTTCATTTTAATATTTCCTAAAGAAGGGATGTAAAATCAGGGAAATAAATTTAGCCTCTGCCAAGAAGGGACAGTCCTTTATCCTGTTAATCATAAAGGAGACTGATGCTGTTGATTGAAAGATAAATGCTTTCTCCCTAGAAAATAAAAGTTACAAGTCCCATGAATGACACTTTAGAAATAGTTTGGGTATATGAATGGGTGGGTAGATTGAAAGGAAATGTCAGTGTCAGTTTGGAGGAAAATTTTTTACTATCTCAACTTTGTTTCTTTCTTTTCCTGATCTTGACTTTATCCCATGCAACAAAATTCTGCGTGTGTGGTTTGTTTGTTTGTTTTCAAATCACCCTCTCATCTTTGAAAAAATAACAGTAAACAACAAACAAACAACTAATTAATTAATAAGTTGTGATAGTTACACTGCATGTTTGACTATGGATCATCAAGTCACCATGCGACCTGAACTGCCTATCATGAACTGGGTGCTTTCTGAAATGAGTCATGCACAGAAGCATTCCATCATCAAATGGAAGTGGTACATATGTGATCAGACTCAGGCAGGTCCTGAAGTCACAAGTAAGTTACATGAGGAGGTGGCTCAAATTTCCATGGTCTCCACTCCTTCCACCCTGCCTTCTCTCACTCAGCCTGCACCGATAGCTTCATGGGGAGTTCCCTATGATCAATTGACAGAGGAAGAGAAGACTAGCGCCTGGTTCACAGATGGTTCTGCATGATATGCAGGCACCACCCGAAAGTGGACAGCTGCAGAACTACAGCCCCTTTATAGGACATCCCTGAAGGACAGCGGTGAAGGGAAATCTTCCCAGTGGGCAGAACTTCAAGTGATGCACCTGGTTGGGCACTTTGCATGGAAGGAGAAATGGCCAGATGTGTGATTATATACTGATTCATGGGCTGTAGCCAATGGTTTGGCTGGATGGTCAGGGACTTGAAAATAGCATGATTGGAAAAAAATTGGTGACAAATTTGTGAAAGAGATTCATCCAGATGTGGATGAATATCTGTGAAGACATTTGTATTCCATGTGAGTGTTCACCAACAGGTGACCTCAGCAGAGGAAGATTTTAATAATCAAGTGGATAGAATGACCTGTTCTGTGGACACCACTCAGCTTCTTTTCCTAGCCACCCCTGTCATCACCAATGGGCCCATGAACAAAGTGGCCATGGTGGCAGGGATTCAGGTTATACCTGGGCTCAGCAACATGGACTTCTGATCACCAAGGCTGACCTGGCTATGACCACTGCTGAGTGCCTAATTAGCCAGCAGCAGAGACCAAGACTGAGCCTTCAATATAGCTCCATTCCTTGGGGCAATCAGCCAGCCACCTGGTGGCAAATTGATTATATTAGACCTCTTCCATCATGGAAAGGGCAGAGGTTTGTCCTCACTGGAATAGACACTTATTCCAGATATGGGTTTGTGTATCCTGCATGCAATGCTTCTGCCAAGACTACCATCCGTGGACTCACGGAATGCCCACCATCATGCTATTCCACACAGCATTGCCTCTGACTGAGGCATCACTTTACAGCTAAAAAAGCATAGCCCTGGGCTCATGTTCATGGACTTCACTGGTCTTACCATGTTCCCCATCATTCTGAAGCAGCTGGATTGATAGAACGGTGGAATGGCCTTTTGACATCACAATTACAATGCCAACTAGGTGACAATACATTGCAGGGCTGGGGAAAAGTCTCCAGAAGGCCACATATGCTCTGAATCAGCATCCAATATATGGTACTGTTTCTCTCATAGCCAGGATTCACAGGACCGGTCCAGGAATCAAGGGGTGAAAGTGAAAGTGGCACCACTCACCATCACCCCTAGTGATACAACAGCAAAATTTTTGCTCCATGTTCCTGCAGCATTACATTCTGCTGGTGTAGATGTCTTAGTTCCAGAGGGAGGAATGCTGCCACCAGGAGGTACAACAACGATTCCATTAAACTGGAAGTTAAGATTGCCACCTGGACACTTTGGGCTCCTCATACCTTTAAGTCAACAGGCTAAGAAGAGAGTTACAGTGTTGGCTGGGGTGATTGACCTGGACTGTCAAGATGAAATCAGTCTACTACTCTACAACAGAGGTAAGGAAGAGTATGCATGGAATACAGGAGATCCATTAGGGCCCTGTAATTAAGGTCAATGGAAAACTACAACTGCCCAATCCATGCAGGACTACAAATGGCCCAGACCCTTCAGGAATGAAGGTTTGGGTTGCTCCACCAGGAAAAAAAAAAAAATAACCTGCTGAGGTGCTTGCTAAAGGTAAAGGGAATACAGAATGGGTAGTAGAAGAAGGTAGTCATCAATACCAGCTATGACACACGACCAGTTGCAGAAATGAGGACTGTAATTGTAATGAGTATTTGATCCTTCTTTTGTTACAAAACATGTTTGTGCATGTATAAACTTGTACTAAGAAAATATCTTCATTTTCTTTCCTTTTATGATGACATAAGTTTTATTGACTTCGTATCAGCATTTAAGTATTGTTAGCTTTACGTAATAGCATTTGGGTTGGGTGTTGGGTGTTTCCAGTTGTACAAAGGATAGTTGTGTTATGTTAGGCATAATTAAGACCTCATTGTTGTCTTTTTTTTTTTTTTTTTGAGATGGAGTCTCGCTCTGTCACCCAGGCTGGAGTGCAGTGGCGCCATCTCAGCTTACTGCAACCTCTGTCTCCTGGGTTCAAGCAATTCTGCCTCAGCCTCCCGAGTAGCAGGGATTACAGGCACTCACCACCATGCCCAGCTAATTTTTGCATGTTTAGTAGAGACGGGGTTTCACCATGTTGGCCAGGCTAGTCTTGAACTCCTGACCTCAGGTGATCCGCCCACCTCAGCCTCCCAAAGTGCTGGGATTACAGGCATGAGCCACCACACCCAGCCTCATTGTCTTTATTTGAAGATTATGTATGATCTCAGGAGATGTATATAGTTCAAGTTAACAACCCGTATACTTGTGATGGTTAATACTGAGTGTCAACTTGATTGGATTGAAGAATGCAAAGTATTGATCCTGGGTGTGTCTGTGACGGTACGGCCAAAAGAGATTAACATTTGAGTCAGTGGGCTGGGAAAGGCAGACCCACCCTTAATGTGGGTAGGCACACAACTTTCCTTAATCTAATCGGCTGCCAGCATGGCCAGGATATAAAGCAGGCAGAAAAACGTGAAAAGACTAGAGTGGCTTAGCCTCCCAGTCTACATCTTTCTCTCATGCTGGATGCTTCCTGCCCTCGAACACTGGACTTCAAGTTCTTCAGCTTTGGGACCTGGACTTGCTTCCTTGCTCCTCAGCTTGCAGACGACTTATTGTGGGACCTTGTGATTGTGTGATTTTGTACTGCTTAATAAACTGCCCCCCCCCCCACACATATATGTATATAATTAGTTCTGTTCCTTTAGAGAACCCTGACTAATACACAAGCAAATACACCTCTCCCAGGTTTTTTTCTATTACTTTGCTTATTTAAACAGAGACATTTTTTAGAAGTGAAACTCTGCCTATATAGTGAATACATATCATATACATACATACTGCCTATATAGTGAATACTTATCATATTTCTGGTTTTGCCACATAGTTGGAAATCTACGGTGCCCTTCAAGTTTCTGAAACTATACACCCTACATAGATAAAGAAATTAGAGCCTGTAATGATTCACCCTGACAAAGAAATGAGTATCTCAGGGTTATCCCCAGGAAAATAACCATAACTCTTTCAAAGAAGAGAAAACACAAATGGACCTAGCTCTCAACCTTTTACCAGTACAAGATTCATCAATTAAACAGCAAGAATAGAAATTATTTAAAAGAAAAAAATAAGTCATATATTTTCCAATTTCCTTCTCACCAGCCTTTACACCTTCTCAAACCATTATTAACAGAATGCATACTTTGTAGAGGAAGAATTTATCCTATTTTCTGATACCAAACCAAGAAACAAATATAATTGCTTAATCACTCTCTTCTTTATCCCCTCAGATCAAAATGTAATAGTAGTCTCTGCATCCAGAAACTCATATATATTTTTGTAGTTACTGTTTTTCTAATAGCTTTCAATTTTATTATGATAAAGTGAGAAATCCATGCAATTACCTCCACAGATTTGAATCATATAGGCCTTATCTTCTTTTTCAACTTCCTCGTATAATACTCCTCATCTTGTGATATTTATCTAGCCACAACTTTCCTTGAAATTAGCATACTGGTTTTTACTAAGCACATCATGGTAGCCTCCAAATGAAACACTATTCACATCTACCGTTATTTTGCTTAATTTCTTTATACTCTCCCTTCAGATACTATATTAAACAGGTTTAATTTCTTTCATTGTTATTGCCTCTCATATTATGCATGTTGCTTACCATCTGTGTTCTCCAACTAAAATATAAGCTTCATTAGAGCAAGACAATTGAATGCTTTATTCATTGTTTTATCTATAAAAGTTAGAACAGTTCCTAGCATAAAGTAACAGTTAAATAGATATTTGTTGAATGGATGAATGAATGAAAATATACTTCCTAAGGTAAATTGTGCTTGATATCATTGGATTAAGTTAGATCCTTCTGTTAAGTATATATAGCATCTGAATAATACTAGTGCTGATACTCCTCATATCCTATTTTTTTAAAAAAAAATCCAATAACCTATCTCTGAAATTAAGAGTCAGATTGAATTTAAACAACAGCACAATAGATGGAAATATTGTGACATCTCTCTTCATACACAAATCTCTCCCTCTCCTTAATTTACATTCACTTAGATGCTTATTCTTGGCTGAAAAATTGTGGCATTATTTTGAGGTCTATATAGATGCCTTTTAGCAACTCTTTAAAATGTGGTGAGGTGTTCTACCACTTCTTTGCCAAATTTATTTCTCATGATTTGTGTTCCATTTTACAGAAGGAAACTCTGTTCAAGTTCATTGTTCTATATTTGCTAGTATGTATTACACTATTACATATATTGGATTATACATGTATTAAAACAATGCATACATACATATATTATACATTATACATGTATTATACATTATACATATATTAAAACAATAAAATAAATTAATATTACTTCACTGTATATTTTCTGTTTATGGTCCTGAACTCCTTTTCTTGGGCAGATGCCAAAGAGTTGTATAGGTATACTGCACATCGTGTCAGTGATTAAAAGTCCCAGAGCGCCTTTTCTATTTTTTTTGACCAAGTCTTCCTCTGTCGCCCAGGCTGGAGTGCAGTGGCGCGATCTCAGGTCACTGCAACCTCCGCCTCCTGGGCTGAAGTAATTCTCATGCCTCAGCCTACTGAGAAGCTGGGACTGTAGGCATCCGCCACCACTCCCAGCTAACATTTGTATTTTTATTAGAGACAGGGTTTCACCATGTTGACAAGGCTGATCTCAAACATCTGACCTCAGGTGATCCACCCATCTCAGCCTGTCAAAGTGCTGGGATTACAGACATGAGCCATCACACCCTACCTGCCTTTCTTTTTAGCAAAGTTGAGTCAATCTCTCTGTCCTATTGCAAGAGTCTTGAATAAAGTCTTTCCTGTCTATTAACTTGTCAAGTGCTAGTTTTCTTTTTTTCTTTTCTTTTTTTTGGACAGCTGTTTTCTTGAACCTGCTACTATATAGTCTCATATACTCAGGAAAACATTTCACATTCTTAGCCTCACTGTCCTTATCATCCAAAAAAAACAAACAAACAAACAAACAGAAAATTGAGTGCCCTGAGTAAAGTGCTAGGAGCTAGAGAAAAAAATAGTGAAGAAGATAGATTAAATTTTGTTTATTTTAGCAATTACATTTAGTAAAGGAGAACGTGAATAATAAAAGTAGCAACAAAAAATAATTTAGAATGTGCTAAAATATCTAAAGTCAATAAATAGGATATTGCCATAATGAATAGTTTTTGAAAATTTTATTTTTGATAGGTAAAACATGAAATTATAACTTCAGGTATTGACAATTTAGGTAAGTTAGAAGGAAGTGATGAGGGAAACATCATGAGCAGGCTCTAGGCAAAACAGTCAGAAACACAAACTCCCATGTGGTAGATTAAAATGGCCCAAATGATTTAACCCTATTCCCAATAGGAGAGAGGGTCTTTGTCCTCTGCTCTTGAATCTGGGTAGATTCTGTGACAACTTTGATCAACGATATATTGTAGAAGTGATGGAGTCAGTGTTTTGATCAGGCTCAGGAGATTGACAGGTTGCACTTCCTGCCTTTTGATACACGGTCTCTTGGAGCCCTGAGTTGCCAGGTAAAAACTCACACAACCTAGCAGGGGAGACTAGATGGAGAGGCTGTAATACTAGAACGAAAAGAAAGAGGGGACCACCTGAGTCCAGCCTTTTAGCCCTGTATACCAAAGAACCAAGGAACCAGACACCTGAGTAAAGCCACCTTGGACCCTCCACATTGGACTGGCCACCAGCTGAAAACTACCAAAGGGCCTGTCAAATTCAGAGCGGAATAATTCCTGAGATATAATACAGTTTTGTGGTAGTTTGTCACACAGCAATAAAAAACAGAATCTCCAAAAAACAACACTTGGCTTACTTTAGGAACTTCTTAAAAGCCAAGGCTGAATGCAGAGTACAAGAGGAGGGTGAACTAAGAAGATATTGGAGATGTAGGTAATGGCCAAATTATAGTTTTCTTAGGCTATAGCAGGAAGTTTGGATTTTATTAAGTGTAGAAGGACAGGATTGACATAAAATGTTTTGAAAAGACCTCTCAGATTGAAAGGACTGACATATTTCTGAGAGAAAAAGCTGATTTCTACCTTTGCAATAGTCCGATAAGATGATGGTAGTAGTTTTATACATATCAGCCAAGATAGAATCCATAGATTTGAAATATATTTTGAAAGTAGAATTGACAAATGTTTCATAAGATGGGTCCCTTCGTCCCTTAGCTGGTGTATTAGTCCATTTTCGTGCTGCTGATAAAGACATACCTGAGACTGGGCAATTTCCAAAAGAAAGATTTAACTGGACTTACAGTTTCTGGCTGGGGAAGCCTCACAATTATGGTGGAGGGAAAGGAGGAGCAAGTCACGTCTTACATGGATGGCAGCAAACAAAGAGAGGCTGTGAAGGGAAACTCCTCCTTATAATAACCATCAGATATCGTGAGACTTACTCACTATTATGAGAACAGCATGGGAAAGACTTGCCCCACAATTCATTTACGTCTCGCCAGGTCCCTCCCACAACACATGGGAATTCAAGACGAGATTTCGTTGGGGACATAGCCAAACCATATCAGGTGGCAAAGTGAGTTATTACTATCTACTTCTTATGTAATAGAGTAAGAACAAGAATTTTTCAGAATCCCATGACATAGGTGAAGGGATAGGTGTTAATGGAGAAATTTGCAAAGTCAGTGTCAGTTCAAGAAGACAAGGCACAATTCCCCAATTAACACATGGATGGAAGTCCTGGAGCCAGAGTTTAACCCACAGGGTGGATCTGCTTTCCAAAAACGGCATCTCACAACTCCAGCTTCTATTTCCTCTTAAAGAAGTTTAGTCTATTTAGAAAATGAACACATAAGCTCTTCGGATGCCATACAGTCCATATTGGCTGCCAGCCTTTCACAGATGTTTGGGAACACCAGCGGTCCAGCGCATGTTTACCTTGGGAACAATTGGAAACCACAGGCCTTCTATTTAGGGAAGGCACTGGAGCCCATTCCTACGTGGAGAACGACAAATCCTCATTACCATGTAGGTCACAGTCCAGGATATGCAGAGTGAGTTCCTGGGGTTGTTTTCAGTACTTCTGTTCCATGCATCAAACTAAAACTTTTTGATAAAATTGGTTATAATGTTTTGATGGTGAAAAAAGGAGGAATCAAAGATAAATTCTAGGTTTCTGCCTTGAGAACTGAAAAGGCTAGTGGTATGCTAACATGTAAAGAATTTAAGAATGAAAAATTTTTAACTAAGAAATGATCATTTGTTTTGCACATGATGCATTTAAAATAAGTAAGTATTCATATATATGAGTCTAGAGCTCAGAAGAGAGAGAAGTCATGGAGATGTACGTTTTGAAGTCATCATCATACAGATAGAATATAAAGTCATGCAAACACATATCCCATCAGTATAAAGTGAAAAAAATAAAATAAAATAAAAGGTTTGGGGTCTGAATCTCAGGGCACTCCAAATTTCAGAAATTACAGAGTTGTGGAAACCTAGCAAATGGCCCTAAGATGAAGTAGCTAGTGAGGTAAGAGGGAAACAAAAAGTTTCTTTTAGATGTCCCTAAAATCAAGTAAAAAATGTATTTTAAGAAAATAGGGCAAGAATGCATGTGTCAAATGTTGCCAATAGTTCAAATAAGGGGAGGACTGAGAATTGACCATTAGCATTGGTAAGTTGGTACTCTTGATTAGCTTTACAAAAACAACTTCAGTGGAGTGTTTGGGTCCAATGCCTCCAGAGGTGGAGTTAAGAGAGAGGGAGCTATAGGAGACACAAGTATGGCAAAATATTATTTTGTGGTATTTTACTATAAAAGGAAGAAAAGAAATGCTGTACTGACAGGCATATTGTTGTTAATGGTTCCTTCTAAAAATTGAAATGCATTTACATGTTCACTCAAGTGCATCCTAGTGTTCCTCAAAAACATTCAATTTCAGTAAGAAGCAAATTCTGGTAAAACTGTATACATCCATCTACTATCTACCTATGTATCTATCCATCTTACCTGAACTATAATAGAGATGAAAGATGTATTTATTTTTAAAGATGTTTTATAAAAATATAAGAGTTTAAACTCAAGAAATAATACACAGATTATATTCTAGTCTTCTGTGAATTATCACAAAGTGAACACACGCATGTTAACACTTCCCAGGTTGAGACATAAAACATAATCGTATCCAGAAGTTCCTGATGTGTCTTTTCCTAAGCACGCACCTTTTTCTCCTTCTTAATTAAATAGTATGCTGAATTCTAATACTATAAGTATAATTTAAATATATTTTTAAACTTTTCAACAAATACGGAAAATATAGAACACATGTAAAAGTAGACAGCATGACTTAATGAACCCCCAGCTTCAGTATACATCCCTCCCAGTTTCAATAATTATCAGCTTATGAACGATGTTGTTTCATCCATCAAGTGATTCTCAAAAATGTGGTCCTTGTACTAGCAACATCAACAACATACAAGAACCAGTCTGAAATGCAAATCTTCAGGCTCTGTCTTCGACCTCCTCAATCATAAACTCAGGGTGAAACCTATCAATTTGCATTTTAACAAGTCCTACAGTTGATTCTAATGCACAGTATTGCTTGAAAACCATTGATCTAGACTTGGACAGACGCCTTTCCCCTGCTAGGTTAATTTTTAATTTGATGCATATCTTAGACATCTTTGTACATCTTTTGCTTTCTGCCATAAATATTTCAGCATGAAACCTAATACAATTAACAATACATTGTGAATATCAATAAATATCCAGTCAGTGTTCTAATGATTTCACATATTTTAAGTGTATTTGTTTGAGAAAGAATCCATATAAAGTCTCTGCACTGAAACTGGTTGAATATGTTCATTATAGATATTTAGTTTATGGTTCCTTCCTTCCCTCATGGGCATTCATCTCTCTCTCCTTTTCTCTAACTCTGTGTTGTTATTACTATTTCTGTTTCTCTCTCCACTATCTCTATCTCTATCCTTATCACTATTTCTGTCTCTATCTCTATTATCTTTATCCCTTTCTCTGTTTCTAATTCTATATCTTTCTCTTATATTTTGAATTGGAATTTTTGAATAAAATTAGTTGTTTGTCCTGTAGAGTTTCTCAGTCTGGTCTTTGCCTACTGCCACTTCATGACTCTGTGTGTGTGTGTGTGTGTGTGTGTGTGTGTGTGTGTGTGTGTGTGTGTAACATGTTCGTCTATTCCTGTGTTTCCTGAAAATTGGTAATCAAATCTAGTGACTTTATCATAATTAGATTAAATTTTTCTGAGACCTGGAAGAATTTGAAATTTTTTCGTGTATCATCGGGATACTGTAGTTTTGAGGAAAAGAAGTAACTAAGGAAATAGGGGTTTTAGAGGTCAGAACAGAAAGATTATGGTGTACAGATTGGAATGGAAAAGCACGCAGACTAGCTGCGAAGTCATGAAATTGACAAGAATGCAGTGATTAGTCCAGATTTTGAACAGATGATAGAAGTGAAAAATGGGGTGGGGGGAACTTGGTGACTGGAGATAAAAAAAAAGGGAAGTAATTCAGTCAAAGATAAATCCAGAGTTTAATCCTGGTTGCTTGCGATTATGGTAGCATTCACAAAATATTTTTTAGATTAATGTTGGAAAATAAACATATTTTGAAGTAAGGTGTTGCATTTAATACATAAACAATACATTTATGATAGCAGTTTAGATGATCCATAGAAAGCTACAGAGACTTCAGATATACCTTGCTATATTTTCTCCTCTTCTTCTATGTTTCCATAACAGGACTTCTTGCCTCTGCAACATTGCTTCACCTTTATAACTGCTTAGACATGAAAAAGTAAACTTTATGTGCATATTTCCTATTAGTCTAGGAAGAAAAGCAATCATTTTTCTAATGCTTTTTACCTTTCATTTGCTGTTTTAATCATATTGACCTCTGATTAGAAATGTGTAAATATTTCCATAACGTACATGAGATAAAAATTACAATTCCTGTGATAGTTAATTATTTTAATAGACTCAAAAGATTGCTTTTGTGCCATATCCTACCTTGGGACTCTGTTCTCAAGAGGGAATTCCCTATTTTATCCGTAGGGGTTCACCTTCCCTGCTCTATTTTCCCTCTATTCACGTAATCCCATCAGTCTGTGACTGGAAGTAAATTCAGACACATTTTATTGCTCATCAGAGATTCAGTTTGTTTTTCTGTACTACGTGAAAATAAATGTTTACCTTGTGGGATTAATTCAAGGAATAAACAAGATAATATGTGCTAAGAATCTAACATATACTTTGGGACACAATGGATAAAAAGAAGGATGCAATCTATTCATATAACAAAACTACACTTGTACTCCATAAATTTCTATAAATAAAAACATTTAAAAAGAAGATTAAATAAGATTTGTGGTCTGTCTCCAGGTAAACAGTGTAACTTACACAATTATCAATGTAATGTACACAGTTTTCTTGGTGCTGTCAGCATAGAATAAATAATTCAAGGGCAGATTCCTTCCTCTTCCTCCAACTCTATCCAAGAAGTTTTATAATTTGCCTATTTTAAAAAGAATGCTACATAGGAAGTTTCTTTGTTTTTTTTTAGTTTTTTTTAGTCATATTCCCTGAAAGTGTCTCCTGCTCAAATATTGATTCCTTTCCCTCCACATTAAGATTGCACTTAAAAAAATTTTTTAAGCCAACTCTCAGAGAATAACAAAATATTAAAAAAAACAAATTAAAAAAACATTAAGACCAAATGAATGAAGGTATACATGAGTATGTTACTCATCTGAAGGGTAGCTAATTAAAACATGCAAACTAAAATATGGTAATTAAAGGAAACATCGTTGAAAATAATTTTTAAAATGAGCATCTCTATAGATGCTTATTTCAAATTTATAACTAACATACTGAAAATTCTAATAATCTCTTATTGAATTTCAGCAGCAAGCACATAAAAATGGCAGTTCAAATTAGTTTTATACATATATTTCAAGAACCTGATTCTCCGGAAAAAATTAGCACGTGAACATTGTAGGCTATATGAAAACATATTTCTGTTTTGGTTTTTCCTATTGGAAAGAATGAGTCTCTTCCCTCTCTTCCTCCATCCCTCCCTTCGTTGTTACATCCATTTCTTCCTACCCATTTGTCCTGCAGGTGGTTAAAGAAAAAAGTAAAAAATTCAATTGCCAAGATCTTAGTGATTCAACTCTCATCTTTGCAAAACTACTGTTTGTCACAGTTCATAGTGAGGATATGATGTTTGATATTTTAGTAAAATTAAACATAAAAGTGTATGTATCAGTTGAGATTGTTTCCATATCAGAACTAGTTTTCCTTGTTTTGCACATTCACAGTCTGAAAAATAAAGTCTTTCATTGTGTGCATTGACATAGATGCTTTGCAATTGTTCACTAGAAAAAAAAAGTATTTCTGGCTGTGGCATTCTTAGGTACAAAAGCAGCGTTTAAAAGCCGAGCACACATTATGAAGCAAACATGCCCACCACTGGGATAAATATACCTAGAAAGAAAGATGAAGAAAGTAAATTTAATGTGTACCTTGCAAACAATGTTGATATATTTTAAGTAATGACTAAATATGGGTATATCGGAAATGGTTATGTAGTTGATTAACAGCTAAAACTAAATTCTTCCTTTGAGAGAAATGTTGATACATTCATCTTATTATTTTGAATATTTCCTTATAGAAGAAGGGGCCTGCAAAAATATTTTGAGCAACAATTTTTATTTCTTTCAAAATAGCAAAGAACAACTTAAAATGATCACAGATTTTTAGTCTATCACAACTTGGGCATGCAGCAGACCTACACATCTTCAGTCATTGATCAGGGTTCTTTTTTTTTCTCAATGAAAATTCTTAAATTTTAGATAAGGCAATAATTTAATAGGAGTAATTGAATCTGTTATGATGGGTTATTCAAACTGGAATATGATAATGGAGAAGATTTAGTGGCAGAGGAGAATGTTTGGGCGGTGGCCTTGAAGGTATCTTTCGAATCATACCATGTTGTTGACTTTCTACTACGTCTATGAAAAACCTTAAAAATATATCAAGGAAAAATCCAAAGTGTTAAAGAGTCAAATGCTTATTTATTTTGAGTATGTTTACACATTCCTTGTTAACTGGACATAATTTGAAGCAAGCATTCTGCCTGCAGTCAGAGCTCTTTACTAAATCATAACTTTATGAATTCACAAGAATGTTAACATTTTGGTGGTTACTATTTGTTATTGAGGAGAAAAACCTAATCAATATTTTTTCAAAAATGTCAGGAACTTAGGATACACACTAGTGTCTTAGGCTATATTCCTAGAAGCTGAACCTGAGACAAGATTTGTGTGCGTGAGATTTTTTGAGCTACTGTATTTTTAGGAGTACCAAGTAAGGGCATGAGGGAAGCAGGAGAAGAGGAAAGAACTGCGAGAGAGCGATCTGAGGTGAAGTCTAACTTCAACCTGATCCCACTGTGAGCTCCAGAACATGAATTGCACCACAGAATCTTTCCTATTTAGAGTCAATGGGGTCGGTCTGCATATATCATTGCAATTTTGGTCACTTATTGACATGAAAAGCTTAGGGTGCAGGACCTCTAGACCTCAGCACATCCACTACATCCGGTGACTTCAATCAGATCAAGTGCATTACTTTAAAGAAAATTGACTTTAATCAGCTCAAGTGCATCACTTTAAAGAAAATTGTGTGTGTGAACTATTAGCCAAAATAATGGCCCGGGAATAGGCACACCAAACAAATGTAAAAAAAAAAAAAAAATTGCAGAAGATCTGGGCCAGACATGATAGCAAATAATTATTCTTCACCCAAAAAAAAAAAAAAAAAAAAAAAGGGAAGATGGCTGTCATTAATTCATTCTCTCTCTTTTTTTCTTTTTCCTTTTGGTATGAAGTCTGTTTTTTTTTGTTTTTTTTTTTTGTTTGTTTTTTTTCTCTTTGAAACCATCCTCATTTTGGTCTTAATGTGTATACTTATATATGTGCTTGGTGGATATATTTTTATGTTTGCTAGCAAGTACATTCAGTGTTTTCATCTACATGAGAGCTGAGCAAAACACAGCAGGGCTGTGTTGATATTGATTGTTGCAAAATTATAGAGCATTTAGTAAGCAGATGTTTTGTTTGCATTTATCAAAGGAAGAAACAAATGGATTCCAATGAAGTTGACTCTCTTTTTTGTCAACACCAAAACCCATTTATTAATTCCAACTTTTCTAGAAACACTGACTCATAAATATACAGTTCTATTCAGTAAACTACTTAATCTGGTCTAGGCTAAAGCTGCCTAGGCACTAGGTAAATTCTCTCAGTCACTCTTTTATGACTACTTCTCAGATTTTCTTTCATCTTTAATATAACATGTTATCTTTTCCTTCTTTATAAATTTAAAAAATATCCTTGTTCCTTTACTAGTTGTAAGGAGGGGAAAGATAAAAGTGACATTCTCTTCTGTTCTTAGCTACAAATCAGGAGTAGAAAGTTGCCTAAAAATTAGAAGTGAGGCCAGGTGCGGTGGCTCACGCCTGTAATCCCAGCACTTTGGGAGGCCGAGGTGGGTGGATCACTTGAGGCCAGGAGTTCAAGCCCAGCCTGGTCAACATGGTGAAACCTCGTCTCTACTAAAAGTAGAAAAATTAGCTGGGTGTAGTGGCTCATGCCTGTAATCCCAGCTACTCAAGAGGCAGAGGCAGGAGAATTGCCTGAACCTAGGAGGCAGAGGTTGCAGTGAGCTAAGATCACACCACTGCACTCCAGCCTGGGTGACAAAGCGAGACTCTATCTCAAAAAACAAGCAAGCAAGCAAGCAAACAATAACTATATATATATATATAGTTATATATATAGTTATATATATATAGTTATATATATAGTTATATATATATAGTTATATATATAGTTATATATATATAGTTATATATATAGTTATATATATAGTTATATATATAGTTATATATATATAGTTATATATATAGTTATATATATATAGTTATATATATAGTTATATATATAGTTATATATATAGTTATATATATATAGTTATATATATAGTTATATATATATAGTTATATATATAGTTATATATATATAGTTATATATATAGTTATATATATATAGTTATATATAGTTATATATATATAGTTATATATATAGTTATATATATATAGTTATATATATAGTTATATATATATAGTTATATATATAGTTATATATATATAGTTATATATAGTTATATATATATAGTTATATATATAGTTATATATATATAGTTATATATATAGTATATATAGTTATATATATAGTTATATATATAGTTATATATATAGTTATATATATAGTTATATATAGTTATATATAGTTATATATATAGTTATATATAGTTATATATATAGTTATATATATAGTTATATATAGTTATATATATAGTTATATATAGTTATATATATAGTTATATATATAGTTGTATATATAGTTGTATATATATAGTTATATATATAGTTGTGTATATATATAGTTGTGTATATATATAATTGTGTGTGTGTATATATATATATATATAAAAATTAGGAGTGGAAACTTGCTTATTTATTCCAGAAACTATTGACCTTTGCCAGTGTTATCACAGTTTCTGACATGGTACAGTCTGGCTGCTAATTTCTATAGCCCAAGTAGGCCCACAGCAAGCGCAGGAATCCCCAGAATCCCAATCTTATTGATGCAGGGGCAGGAAAACCCCAAAGTGGGGCTTAGCCCATGAGGGCTCTTGTCTTCACCAAGGAAAGAATTCAAGGGGGAGCCAGTGGTAGTGTAGAACAAAACAGCTTTATTGAAAAAGCTCCATGACTGCTCCTACAGAGCAGCGCTACTCCATTGGCAGTGTGCTGAAATTAGCAGCTCAGGGCAGTGTTGCAGTCATATTTATACTTACTTTTAATTACATGTAGATTAAGGGGAAGTTTATGCAGAAACTTCTAGGGAAAGGAGAGTAGCTTTTGGGTTATTGGGTCATTACCATGGAAGCCATGACTCCTGGGTGTTGCTATGGCAATGGTAAACTGCAATGGCACACTAGCAGGCATGTCTTATGGAGGGCTGCTTTCACCTGGTCCTTGTTTTAGCTAGTCCTCAATTTGTTCTGGCGTCCAAGCCCTGTCTCCAGAGTCAAGTCCCACCTCCTGCTTCACTATGTGACTCCAGGAGAAATTGATGGGAAGTTTTTGCCCTCTTACACCTATCTATGATACTATATGATAGGTTTATTGCTCTTTCTTTAAGCCTAGCAGCACTGCCAGTATCTGTAGCTTTTAATGCTTGACAATGTCTATATAATAAATATTTCCTGTTTAAAGGATCACTTCTCAAACGCCACAGATAATCCTCTTTAGGCCCATTAATCCAGTGGGCATTTATGTGGGTTCTCAGTTATTGAACTGGTCTAGACCAGTGGCTCTTGACAGAGGGCCAGTTTTACTCCTGAGAGGACATTTGACAATGTCTGGAGATAGTTCTGACTATCATAACTGAGGAGGGGGCGCTACTGGCATCTAGTGGGTAGACGCTTGGCATGCTGGCAAACTTCCTAAAATTCACATGACAGCCACCTGTAGGAAAGAATTATCTGGTCTCAAATAACAACAGTAAAAAAGATCAGAAATTCTGGTCCAGAAAAAAACTGCATGGCCATCAGTTAATATTGACATAAAATTGGTTTATGTCTGGGTAGAATTTTGTACTTTGGAGTTTCTTTACAACTTTAAAATATACATCTTTCTTGCTTTCTCATGCCCTGCTTCAGTCAGATCAATTCACCCCAAAGAAAATGTACCTAAAAAAAAAAATTGATGTTCAAAATTCCCACATTTCTTGTAACCTCCATTTTGTTTTCAGAATATTTATGCTCTACTCCCAGTTGCATAGGCTCCACCATCTTGTATTAGTGTAGTTGAACTCATTAGCATAGTTTATCTATTGCCCCATCCTTGCTATCTATGTCTATGTTGGTATCTGCAACAATATCCCTATCTACATATTTTCACTTTAATCATTTCTGGCTGCTTTTTATGTTCTTATGTTGGCTTTAGGCTTCTAGAACTCAATCCAGTCTTTGAAATTGAGTCAGTGTCTGGTTAACTCTCCCTGAATTTCTACCCTGCAATAGGTAGTATTTGTAGCGCTATGCTCGATATAAATGACTGAACTTATTAAAGCATTGTTAGCCCAGTAGTTTCAGTTAGTTCCTTGATTCATTGAGCAATAACTGTTTTAGATGAATGCATGATATTCAGAGTGCATATTTTTTAAAAGTGAAAATAATTACATTAACCCCTTGGAAGTTAGATATCATCCCTAAATACATGCTCTAATTAATTTTCTTTAAAATTTTAAACTTGGACCCATCAGTAGAAATTAATATACTCACAGATGACACATTTGTAGGCTATACGACTAGAGGACATGGATTTCTTTTTTTTGTTTTTTGAAAAATTAAGTAATTTTGTGTTCAGTAACTGCAAAGTGAACTGAAAATTGGCTCTCAAGGTGGAACTGTGGAGCTGTCTAAATGAATGTCGTCCGTAAATAGAGGTGCTTTTGGTGACTTATTTGCATAAGTATCTGTCCCTTTTGTGCTTAGAGGGAAAAAAAAGAGAAAACACTGTTTTTGCCAGGTGTTTTGTTGACTCTATTTTCCACTGATTTTTCCTCTTGGTTTCAAACCTCCTGAAAGATAGAAAGGACAGAGAGCTCTGACGTACACAGCTGACAGAAGCCCTAGCTAAACTACTCGGGGCAATAATGACGTAGCTCATTTTTGCCCCCGTCCATTCCATGATTTCTTCCTGGAAACAATACCAATGAAAAAAATAGGCAAATCATTACAAATGTATACTCACTCAATTTATTTCCTGTGCTGTTTTAGCCAGTGTCAGCGAGAGAAGCAAGAGATCAGCAGCACTTAGAAGCTCTAATGTATTCACAGGACCCAGTTGGTCCTTTATATATGTAATGATTACATGTTCTTTCTATCATTCTTTGCTTATTAATTTCTTTTAGTTAATACAAAGCAGAAATGAAAACACAGTCATTTAGGTTTGCAGATAAAGGAACAATTACCTTGGATTTAGGAGATGAGGAAAGACACTGTCAGGATAATTTACATGGAAGGAAAAAACCAGGGAAAAAGAAAAGAAAAGTTGAATCTCTGAAGGGAATGTGATTTGTTATACATACGAGGTTTGAATTTTGAGAGTAGTGAGAAATACAAAGTAGAATAAGCCAGTTCCAAAAAAAAAAAAATCTGGAACAGTATGTTAATCATCTGTTTTTTATTTGACAGGTAACATAAATAAGAGACAACTAAGCTAGATGTAAAGGTTGGCCAATCAAATTCTCTCTCATGTTCACCACCCTCTTCTTAGAGAAACAGCGAAGCCCACAGCCTCTATTCAGGGAGCAGTGCTGGCTGATTATATTCTTGTAAGGATGACCAAGCTCCTTCCACTTGACTTCAATCACCTGACTACAGCTAACTTAACGAGAAGAAAACTCCTTAAGTTAGGTGGTTGAGTATAAAATCTCAATTAAAACCGAGACAATGGCAATTCCTTAAATTAGCCATATGTTCTGTATTCAGAAATTTAAACGGGTGATACAAAGCAAAAGAAAGTGAGTGCTAGCAGTGGACATGGAAGATGACATAGAAGATAGTCTGAAGAAGCAAGGGCAGGAAGTAGCTAAGCCACACTGAAGGCAAGGCAATAGCAATAGAAATGAACAGAGTCTGATTTGCATAGGGCTCTTCAGTCATCATCAGAAATTAAAAAGACAAGATACAGATGAGTGCATATTTTATGCTAACTTTGTGCATTAAATGGGGAAATATATATGTGTTTTTATTTTTATTTTTTGTATTTTCACAGACACTAAAAGGATACACAAATAACAAATAAACGTATATACCTCTAGGGATAAGGGGATGGAATGAAGTGAAACAATCAATATGAATGGGAACAGGGATTAGAGACAAAGTTATTCTCTCTCTAAGATTTTTGTTTTTTAATCTAAGATTTTATTTCTGGTTATCCTTACCTTTGCAAGATAGATTGTAAGCCCTGGCAATTCATCTCATGCCTTTGCTCTCTGAAATTCATTCTTGCCTTCTGGGAAATCATTGACTGAGTCCTTATGAAATAAGTGATTCAGCTTTCTCCCATTCTGATTATTTCAGTTTCTGTGATAAATTAACCCAAGACAGTCAGACTTGGAATCATGGATGGTTTCAGCTATTCCTTCATGTTTTAAGGCCCTGGCTAGAACTGTTTGCCTGAAATAGTGTCTTTTGAAAAAAACAAACAAACAAACAAACAAACAAAAAAAGAAAACAAAGTAAGTTAGCCTTATGGCCTCAGCGGAAATGATTGTATTAGATATTCTTGGCAAATGATGAGGAATAGATTCCTAGATGCATGCTTCCTGCTGATTCAGCCCATGTGAGCAGTCAACTAGTAGACTCAGCCATGCACCTTATACTCAAGGGTTCTAGGAAGCAGATGATGAATACAATCACTGTCCCAAGTAAAAAACATAACTGTGTAACTTAAAGCAAAAAATAATGAAGAAAATCTGATTGTAGAATATTTTAGAATGTGTCATGGAATATTGTTTGTTGTTTTTACTTTCTAAAATATACTTTTTAATGAGTAGATTTAGATTTACACAGAAGTTGCAAAGGGTACAGAAGGTCTCAATGTACGTCACCCCCAGTTGCCTTATTTACATATTACACTAATAGGAAACAGTTGTCACAATTAATAAACTAATTTTTTCCTTTTCCTCTTTCTTTCCTTCCTTCCTTTCTTTCTTTCTTTTCTTTCTCTCTCTCTCTCTCTCCCTCTCTCTCTCTCTCTCTCCTTTCTTTCTTTTCTTTAAGACAGGGTTCTCACTATGTTACCTAGGCTGTCCTCAAACTCCTGGCCTCAAATAATCCTTCTGCCTCAGCCTCCCAAACTGTAGCTGGGACTGTAGGCATATGCCACCTCGCTTGACTAAACCAATGTTGGTATATTATTAACTAAGATAAGGTCTTCACTTAGTTTGAATTACTTTAGTTTTTCCATAATATTCCTTTTCTGTTTCAGGATCCCATCCATGATGCCACATTATATTTAGCTATATCACATCTCTGTATGCTCCTCTATGCTAAAACAATTTCTCAGACTTTTATTTTTTATGATGACCTTGGCAGTTTTGAGCAATACTGATCCAGTTTTGGAATGTCTCTTAATATGGATTTGCTAATGTTTTTCTGCTACTCAGACTTAAGCTATAGTTTCTTAGGAGGAAGACTGCAAAGAGAAAGGACCATTTTCATCACATCATGTCTAGGGTACATATGATTAATGTGACTCATCACTGTTGATATTGACTTTGAGCACCTGTTCTGAGGAAGGGCTTATTGGGTCATTCCACACTCAAATTGCTCCATTTCCCTTCTTTCCATACTGTAGTCTTTGGAAGGAAATTGCAATGTTCACATTACATTCAAGGCGTGAAAGCTATATTCCACTACCTTTTAAGGAGAATATCTACATAAATTATTTTTTTTTGTATGGGAAATTTGCCTATTCTCTTCCATTTATTTATTTACTCATTTAGAAGCATAGCTATTTATTTTATAACTTGGATTATAATCTAGTACTACACTAATTTTCTTAATACATTATTTTGTTGCTTTAATGGTTTCCAGCTTTGCCATTGGGAGTTCTTTTATTTGGCTCCTCTGTCACCTTGATGCATCCCCATTATCGTCTTTGTTGAACATTTCCTTACTTTTAGGAACTGCAAATGACTCTAGGCTTACCTCATGTATTCACTGCCCAAGGACAAGAATCAGCCATTTCTCTAAGGAGACCTTGTTCCTTTTATTAGTCAATAAAATTTGAAATCTAGTTTTGGGTGCTGGTTGTGTTCATTGTTATTGGAATATCTTTGCTCTTTCACTGGACAGAGCCTGGGGAAATATATCTATGTATACTAATCTGTTTATACAACACAAAGACCTCTATAATTGTTTCTATATTTACCCATCTATATCTCCAACTCTAAGTTTACATCTTATGGTTAATTCCAACTTTCTCTCTCATTTGCTTTTAACCTCCTGCTCCAATGAGTGAGAATCTAAGTAAGTCCCACCATATGCCATCCATTCACTTTTTTGCCCAAACCCACTAAAAATGTAGAGTAGTTTCCAAATAATTAACCCATACCCAGAAGAAAAAAAAAATTGTTTACCAATTAGAGTTCAGTGTTAATGGATAGTTTCTTTTTCCTTTAGTCTTATACTTCTATTCATTTTCAAAGTTATTGAGGTCAGGCCTTCTTGTCTATAACACGTTCAGTGAGGTTGTCATAGATTTGTCATACAGTCATATTATTTTGTTCTAATCTGCATTCTATGCTGGGATCCCAGACTCACTAATTTTTTAAAATAATTGTATACAGTATGTCTCATTTGTGCTATAGAGTTCTATGGCCTTTGGCAAATAAATAATGTCATATATCCACCACTACAGCAACATACAGAATAATTTTATTGCCTTAACAATATTTCTATGCATTAGCTATTCAACACTCCTCTCTTCCTCCACCTCAAGCAAATACAAATCTACTTTCTTCTTCCTCTGTCTCCTTCTTCTCCCTCTTCTTCCTCTTCTCCATAATGTCATATAAATGGAATCACACAGTTTATAGCATTTTCAGTCTAGCTTGCTTCACTTAGTAATATGCATTTCAAACCCATACATGTTGTTCTGTGGATTAATAGTTCACTCATTGTTATCACTGGATAGTATTCTATTGCATATTCATACCACAGTTTATCCACAGTTCTGGGTGATTGTGAATAAAGTTGTTGTAAACATTTTTTGTGTGCAAGTTTTGGTGTGGATAAGTTTTCAAATAGATTAGGTGGATACCTTTCAATTGTGATTGATAGATTATATAATTAAGACTACGTTTAGTTTTAAAAGGTATTGCTAGACTGTCCTCCAAAATGGCTATACATTTTGCCTTCTTACCAGCAATAAATGAGATGTTGTTTAGCATGTGCCAGAAATTGGTATTGTCAATTTTTTGTTATTAGCTATTCTAATAGGTGTTTAGTGATAGTTCATTGTTACGGAATTTGCATTTCTTTTATGGAAAATAATGTTGAATTTTTAATATTCTTATTTCCATTAGTATATCTTATTTGGTGAAATATTTGTTCAGATACCTTAAACTTTTTAAAATTTAGTTATTTATTTTCTTATTGTTGAGCAGTAAGAGTGCTTTTTCAGGATTGCCTTTTAATTTTTTCTCACAGTTTTCATATCTCTGCTGACATTACACATCTAGTTTTGCATGTTGTCTAGTTTTGCATGTTGTCTATTTTTGCCAATATCAATCTTTTCTTTTCTTTTCTTTTTTGAGATGGAGTCTCGCTCTGTCTCCAGACTGGAGTGCAGTGGCATAATCTCAGCTCACTGAAACCTCTGCCTCCTGGGTTCAAGCTATTCTCCTGCCTCTGCCTCCTGAGTAGCTGGGACTACAGGCGCGTGCCACCACACCCAACTAATTTTTGTATTTTTAGTAGAGATGGGGTTTCACCATGTTGGCCAGGATTGTCTCCATCTCTTGACCTCATGATCTGCCCACCTTAGCCACCCAAAGGGATTACAGGCATGAGCCACCATCCCCAACCAGCAATCTTAGTCATAGGTTTTTAAAATCCCATGGCTTCATCATATTTAAATCTGTTTCTGATGAGTGCTTTGTCTCTTCAGACTTTGTTCTGGATTTTCTTCATAATTTGTAATTTTGTTGTTGTTGTTGAAAGCTGAACATGTTCTATCCGCAATATAACTCAGTTAAACAGGCCTTGACTCTGAGAATTTGCATTAGTTGGCTAGGAGTTGGGCAGTTGCATTAGTTGGCTAGGAGTTGGGCAGTGTTTAATGTTTGCTCTATCTGTATGTACCAGAGATGTCAAATTATTCTAGTGTCTTTTTTTTTCTTTGCATCAATTCTCTTGACTTAGGGCTTCCCTAAGTACTTCTCCTCTGAGTGAATCTGTATCTTGTGGCACCTTTAGCTATAATCCACTCTTAATTTTCTGGGTCCCTTTTGGTGCAGTGGTAGGGTATGAGGGAAGGGTCCATTCCATAATCTTCTGATTATGTCTTAGTGTTCTAGTGGGGTTACATCTATCTCAGGAGTTTAGCCTCCACAAGTGTTCTGTCCCTCTTCTAGCTACACATCTCCTCCTTCACGAACTCCCCTCTGCTTACTTTCCTAGCTGCAGCAACCTCAGTATATTTGTTTAATGCGTTGCCGTTGCTTCTTTACCTTAGGTATAAGAGGAAGGCCGGGGACATCTTGAATGAGATAGAAATCCCTACCTCAGTAGGGTATAAGGTTTTAGTATTAGCCTTTGGCTAACCCTTTCTCCATAGGACCCAGATAGGGTTCCTGAAAGAAAATCCCAGGGAAGTGTGACCCCATCTCACAACTCATCCCAGCTACATATTTTCAGCTGCCATTTTAAAAAAAAATGTTCACTATTATTTGTTCTCAACCATCCATAATTCATCAAAATTATTAGTGAAGGCATGGTGTCTCATGTCTGTAATCCCAATACTTTTGGAAACCAAGGCGGAGTATCACTTGAGGCCAGGAGTTTGAGACAAGCCTGGATAATACAGTGAGACACCATCTCTACAAAAAATTTTAAAAATTAGCCAGGCAGGGTGACACGTGCCTGTAGTGCCCACTATTTAGGAGGCTGAGGCAGGAGGATCACTTGAGCTTAGGAGCTCGAGGTTACAGGAAGCTATGATGGTGCCACTGCACTCCAGCCTGGGTGACAGAGGAGACCCTGTCTCTCTCTATGTCTCTCTCTCTCTCTCTCTCTCTGTACATATATATATATATACACACACAGACACACACACGTATAAATATATTACTTCATGCATCTCTCTCTCTCTTTCTCTCTCTCTCTCTCTCTCTCTCTATATATATATATATATATATATATATATGAAGTAAATGCACGTAGCACTTATGACTTTCAGTGTCTTATAATTCTGGTAAATAGACTTGGCTCCATCTCTCTTGATGCTCTTGGCCCTCCACTTCTCAAAGTAGTGGTTTTCTAGTGGCAGTAATTCTCTATGGGTCCGAACAAAAATCTTGATTTTCAGTTTGTCTAGCTTCTTGTTTTTTTAAGGATAGGAACAACAACCTCCAAGCTCTTTAAATGTTACAGATAAAGCAGAAACCTAGTTTTTTTATTTTAACATTTTAATAAAATATAAAATACATAAACACATAAATACACACACCCCCAAATAAAGTCACAGCTCATTGAATTTACATAAAGTAAATAGATAACTTCACCCAGGTCAAGAAATAGACTGCTGTCGGAATCCCAGAAGCCCTTCTCCTTCTCCTGCTCCTTTTGTCTACCAGCAATTTAAGTATGATGACGTTAGGCATGGCTTTTTGTTTGTTTGTTTTGGTTTTTATATTTCTCCTGATTAGGGTTTGTTGGAATTTTTTAATTTGTTAATGTATGTCATTCAATGAATTTAGAGAATTTCACCTTTTTATTAGTAGTTATTTTTTTTTCTTTTGAGTCTCTCTCTACTGTCCTTGTGGGTCTCCCATTACACATACCTTATACCATTTGATATTGCTTCACACATCACTTAGGCTCTATTTATTTTTTAACCTTTTTTTCCCCTGTAATTTTCAGCTTTAGAATTTGCATTTGGTTTATTTATACAGTTTTTCCCTCCCTGCTGAGATTTCTTGGTTGGCAAATATATATATATTATATATATAATATATATTTTATATATATTATGTATTATATATGTTATATATATTATATATATTTTTATCTATTATATATAAATATATTTATATATGTTTATATATTATATATAATATATGTTTATATATTATATATTAAATATATTATATATAATATATAATATATATAATATATATAATATATTTTATATATAATATATAAATATTTATATATAATATATAAATATTTATATATAATATATAAATATTTATATATAATATATATTTATATATAATATATAAATATTTTATATATAATATATATTTATATATAATATATTTATATATAAATATATATTATATATAATATAATATATATTTATTATATATAATATAATATATATTTATTATATATAATATGTATTATATACATAATATATATCATATATAATAAATATTTATTATATATAATATGTATTATATACATAATATATATCATATATAATATATGATATATATTATATATATTATGTATTATATACATAATGTATATTTTATATATATGTATATAAAAGTCTTTGAACAGGAATGTATTTGTTGCTTTAAAATCTGTATGTACTAATTCAAACATCTTCCTCACCTAAAAGCTGCTTCTTATGGTTTTATTTTTCTCTTATAGAATGACTACATTTTCTTATACCTTTGTAGGTCTAATAGTTTTGAATTGTACCATGGACATTATGAATTATGTGTTAGTGATTTTGGATTCTGTTATGACTCTGAAAAGTATTACTTTTTTGCTTTAATGGGCACTTAACTCAGCTGCAGCGAAACTCCAAACTCTGTCTCTCCTGCTCTGGGGAGCATCTGAAATCTTTATTCAGATTTTTCATTATTGGATTCTGCCCCACACATGTGGAGTTTGGAGATCAGCCAGTGATTTGTATAGTTTATATGCAGAATTTGGAGCTTCCCTTCTTTGGGTCTGTCCTTTCTGAGATTTCTTAAGTTTTCAGCATCTGTGCTGTCCTCTAAAACTGTCCATTGATTCTTTGGTCAGTAATAATACCTGTTTGTATCTAAGTTTGAGTCAGTTTAGCATTGGCTGTCCTCAGATGAAAAACCAAGAAAAATTACAAATTCACCTGTGTTATTCCCTTTCCTGTGAGCTACTCTCCTGGCGATGTCTGCTCTTCATTGTTTTTTAGTGTTTTCATATTTCTTTTTTCATATCTATGTATTTCTCCAGAGTTTATAACTTTTATCTGATGGCAGTTTTGTTTAATGTTGATATTATAGAAAGTGGAAACCCCCTTTAGTCATTTTAATTTGCATTTCAAGCAAAACTAATGAGTTCATCAACTTTTATTTTGTGTTTTGGCTATTCATATATGGTTTTATTTTGTGTGCATATAAAAGACATATTGAAATTTCTTGTCATTTTCTATTATGCTGTCTGCCATTCATTTAAGTTATTTAAATATTCAATATATGAGTATTTTGCATTTTTTAGATGTGGTGAGTATCTTTCCTACATTGCTTTGCGTTTCATTTCGAACATTCTTGTATCTCCTGTCCTGATATTATTAACTTTCATTTAATATTGAAGAAGTTGATGTGATTCGTCTTTTTCATTAAATGTTATCTTATTTTTGCAAGTAATACATATTTTATTGCAATCAAAATAGATAATGAAGATAGTAGAATTGTCATTGTTTGCAACCTCAAAATCCAGATTTAAACACTTTTGCTGTAAATATTGCAGTTTTTTCTATGCATATAAAAGAATATTTTTGTAAAAGTGGTCACATTAATAATATTTTATGAACTGCTTCCTTAAACCTAGTATATAGTGAAAAAACTTCATGTGTCTATTAATGTGTATCTAAACTAGAATTATTAATGATAAAGTATTTAGCAAATCATCATTTGTTGACCACTTTGGTTAGTTCCAACATTTTTCTCATATAAACTACGCTACAGTGAGTATCCTTGTGCATAAATATGCACATCTACTATTAACCATCTTAGATAAATTCTCTGAGTGGTATCTTGTATCCAAATGATACACTTCTTTTGTGACTTTTCAAATACTTTTACATTGAAGTTAAATATAGTATTTTATGGCTTTAATATACATTGACAATGAAATCTACTGAAAGTAAATTTAGTAACAATTTATTTTCCTACCAATATATTACAGTCCATAGCTAAGGTTTTTACTTCCAAGAGGAACCATTTGTCTCTCCTGGGATAAGTTCTCTCAGAAAATTCTTGAGGAAGTATAACTGCTTATCCTTAGTCCATGCTATACTGATAAAATCCTCCTGGGGAAACCCTCTATGTCTTCACTACAAGAAAAGCATTAGCTCTTCCTGCTTATCCGGGGCTCCTCATTCTAAATATGTGGATGGGTGGACAGGCTTCTGAATACCTTATTCTCAGAAGACAACTTTTTTCTAGGTAAGCATCAGCATGAACCTCCACAGATATGACAGATTTCATTTGCTATTTTAGACTAAGGAACCTATTTGTCCATATACCTATAATAAAACGGTGCTAAGAAACAATGGAAACTCCAAAGTCAAACTTTCCAGGTAATATACTTTTTAGTCAGGTTACTTTGATTTTTGTAACTTCAATTTTCTTCTTGGAAAAAAAATGAGCAGTTTTTCTGCTGCTTTTCTCTCATGGCAGTTGGAAATAATCTCCTAAAATTTTTACCATTGCTTCTGATGATAATATTTGTCTACTAGGTGTCAGCGATTTAATAGGATATTTAATATTGTAAGCAAACAAATGCCTCTTTTCAAATGTATCTAAAATGCTACTGGAGACAACTTAGGTAATTTGTGCACTTGAAACATATTATTGTTGGTTCTCTGTGTATTTTGGAAAGCAATTTTCCATGAAATTGTTATTACCTTTTAAATGTAATATCATTTTGTACAATGCTCATTTAAGGGAATTACCCCTTCTGTATAAATATCATTCAGGCTAACTACCCAAAATGTGCCAACATATTAACCTCTCTAAGTGCATGGCTTAGGAAACAAAAGGGTACTTTTCTGCATTGTAAGTAGGATCTGATTATCATTTAGATTACAATACATTTCTAGCTGATTTGTTTAGATAATGCTGTACTTTGAGTACAATAAGTTAACAAAATATAGATCTTGGGCCAGGTGCGGTGGCTTACGCCTGTAATCGAGCCCTTTTGGAGGCTGAGGTGGGCAGATCACTTGAGGTCAGGAATTCAAGATCAGCCTGAACCAACATGGTGAAACCCCATCCCTACTAAAAACAAATACAAAAGTTAGCCGAGTGTGGTGGTGCATGCCTGTAGTACCAGCTACTCAGGAGGCTGAGGTAGGAGAATCATTTGAACCCGGGAGGTGGAGGTTGTAGTGAACAGAGGTTGTAGTGAGCTGAGATTGTGCTACTGCACTCCAGCCTGGCTAACAGAGTGAGACTTATTCTCAAAATACATACATAAAAACATAATTAATTAATTAATTATAGATATTGTTTTATATACTGGGGACCCTGAATTATATCCAATGATTAAACTATTTTGCCAAGGGTCATCTGCAGAATTATGAGTCTAATATATTTTCAAAAGGTATCAGATGTTTTTCAAGATTAGTATTTGCCTAATAGGAAATAATGTATTCTTTCAGTTTTTTTTTTCCTAGCACTTGAATTCTTAACACTTCTCTTAGATTTCTAGGCATTACATGGTGCATTCCCATTTAAGTTATTCATCCCATGATTTTAGATAAGCTAGTTCTGTTAGTAGTAAACAGATCTGACTTTCATTTTTTCCTAACCAGGAAGGTTTCCTTACCACATTTTGCCTATTTCTACTCACCTATAAGAAAATGTGACAAAGCATTCACAGTTTTTTGAGGAACAGAAGTCCAGAGAAACTGCCACCTCCAAATCTAGAGATCATCTCAAATGTCTCTATGCTATAAGGCTTTGCCTACTGCAACTATATGTATGTTTCTTTCAACATTTTGCACAATATATTGATACTCCCTTTATTTCTCCTAAGTTGATGCCCTCTTTCATTACACAGAATAATCTACCTAAATCTTGGCCAATCATCTTATGCTCCCTAAATAATTTGTCTAGTAACAAAGTCACTTTGTGTTGTTGAGATATCCTAAATGTTTAGATATATGGTTCAGGCCACTTGCTATAGAATTTTAGTTTTCTACATGAAGAAAAAATGTTAAATATTTATCCCTTTCTTCCACTTTAAAAAATTGTCATGGTTAAAATATTTCCCTCTAGTTAGTTTTAAGTGTAAGCTAAGTTTTATGTAAGTTGGAGGTGCCAAGAGTGGAGTGGGCATTCTGAATGTGATTGAGAATATGAGTTGAATTTGTTTTATATGATGTTACCATTTCATAAATTAAATTTGAAATATTGGAGGGAAGAGTATGAGGACGATAAAAGAAAAACCAAATAGTTATAAAAATGAGAGTTCAATAAAATATTATAGAAAGAACTTCATTGTATAAGATGAACAAGAATGGCAGGGGTGCATACCATGGTGGTGCTAAATGAATTGACAAGTCAAAGTGGAATTCTGTTATCAAAATCTGATATGTCATGTTGGTCATGACTTTGAGCTTTGAGAACAGAATCGTTTGGGAGCAGATTAATGGTTCAGTAGTCTCCAACTCATTTTCTTTACCATCACCACAGCTGCCATCATCACCATGGTCACTCTGCTTAGAATTTTTGAGCATGTATTTGCCAGAGACGGCAATCAGTCCCTCACACCCTCATATGTGTTCAAATACAAATGAGACGTCACATACTTTTTCAAGTTTACACAGAGCTGAGATTTAAACTTGTGTATCTAAGTCCCTAACCCATGATTTTTGTTTATTGATCCTATTCCACCTATGATTAGTAGTTAAATGAATATCCATGCTTGTTACATGGATATTCATGTATTCTCTTAGCTTTCCCACCTTGCCTTCATATTTGCTTCCTCTTGGTGAATACTGAGTTCCTGTTCTAAAAGAAAATCACAATCTATGTAGGCTGATTTTTTAATGGATTTTTAATGACTACCCACATCTGAGAGAAGGAAGCTGCTATCGAATGACTGTTCATTTGGAAAATCATGGATTCTTTAAGCATATTTGCTGCCTTTGTGGTGATTCCAAGCTCTTTCCTAAACCCAGCTCTTACTTCCATGGAAGGAATTCTAAAACTTGGTGTTTTCTAAGGGTGTATGTTACCCTAATAATAAAACAGTACTTACAGTGGAATTATAGGTGATGTTCACTGTAAAATAGTAGGACTTTCATGAATTAAATGAACCAGAGTTAGAGGTAAAATTTTCTTGGGCTTATAGCTGCTAGATATGAATAATTATCAAATAAGTAAGCAAAACACTTAGAGAGAAGTTGTAATATTAAAATAAATTAAAAATATTCTTATGAGAAAAACATTTGTATTAGTTGGAAGTTGAATACCATTATTTAATCAGATTTTGCAGTTATATCTAGAGGTGTCCCACCCCAATATAATTCATTATGTCATTGGATATCTTTTTCCTAGATTATTCTCCAAATTCAATTTCTCCGTCAGTGCAATGCATTCTATTGCTTTGGTGCATAGAGGGAAGATCTTGCTGGTCTTGGCAAAGCAAAGGCTAAATCATTTGTTACTTTATTGTATTGTCCTGCGATGTTTTGTTTTCTGAAAGTTTCAAAAAAAAAATTGAATATATAAAAATGGGTGAAGAATCATATTGTAATCATTGTCTCAAAAAATCTGATGTATAACAACAGGTGAGTAACAATATTGTAATCGTTGTTTTAAAATACATATTATTATTAACCCTTTTAGTAAACACGCAAAGAAGTAAACATGCACTAGTACTCTCATTATAGATGTAGAGGCTTATATTTGAGCATTACAGTAGCTAACTTGTCTACTGGTAGGTAATTCATAAGACTAGTAAATGATTATATTTTTACCTATATTAATTTTGTACAGAATTTTTATGGCACTTAAACATCTTGAACTTTTATCCTTAGTATTAAAAACAAAAAATGTGATAGCTCAGCTAGATTGCCAATATTGATATTTGCCTGGTTCCTGCAGGCACTCACCTGATACTACCAAGAAGAGAAAAAAGACAACAGCTCAAGGAAGTAGAAGAAAATTCTTTCTGTGAGTTCTTTCTAAAGATCTTATCAGTTTCTTACGTATTTAAATATTGCATAACAATTTTAGAGTAGAATATATATAACAGTAGAGGATAAAAAATTGTAACAGTAAAGGATTAATTACAAACATAAGAAATGTACCTATGATAAAAAGAATTAATTTGAACAATCTATAATATACACATATAATTATATATATTAATTATAAAATATCACAGTTACAAAGCATTTTATTATGATTTAAAACATTTTTTATTGACCTCAAGGTATATTTGATCTGATGGCCTTAAAATTGACACTGACAGTAGATAATAATTTAAGCTGTTTCTTCTTTCTTTTTTGGAAAGCAATTTGTTACAGAAGCAGCAGCGAATATTGATTTCTCTTTCAAATTATACATTCTATTATCTTCTGCAAAAACAATAATTATTTTATATAAGTGTTTTATATACCTTGTCTTATGCATTTCATCCAACAGATCTAGAGTAATGTGTCAATAGTCCCATTTAATAAATAAGAAAGTGGGGAATTAGGTTAAACTATTGGTAAAGGTCATGAGGCAATGAGAAGCAAAGTCAAGATTCTAAACAAACTCTTCTTGATTCTGAAGTCTATGTGAATTTCCATGTCAGAAAAAAGTAGGCACTTTTCTTTGAATATCTGTCTTAGGCACTACATATATTATTTGTACCACAAACAAATAAAATATAAATGCCTACACCTTACAGACTTACTTAAGTCAGTCAATATATGCAGATCCTTTATATTCACAGCACACCTAGAGAAAAAAACACTGCCAGAAAAAAAGAAAATACCTTGCCTGTTTTGGGATGTGTCTTCTTAAAAGTGTTCTTTTTTCCCCCATTGTTTGTTTTAGCTCTGACATTGAGTTGTTAATTAATGTTGTTTATATCATATTACCTGATTATTTGGTTATATCATTCAGTCTAGCTCAAAATTTCAGTTGGCTCAATAAACACCTGTGCGCTAGGCGTATGAAATACATTGTACCCTCAACCTCCACTTGTCTACTTCCTTCTCGTCATTTAGAACCTAGCTCAATCAACTACTCCCATCTTCCCCCTCTTTACAAGAAGACGTAATTTTTCAGCTGTGCATCCCTTGAGTCCTTACTTTGTTTTCATTCTTCCCTTTTATCGCAATCATGACTATGTGAAGTAGCCCTGTTTGTTTGCTTGTTTAGGTAGGCATGTTTATATTATCTGTCTCCCTACATTGGTGTATCAATTCCATGAAGATAGAACATTTATCTAGCTTCTTCACCTCTTTAGCCTCAGTATCTAGAAAAGTGTATAATAAATTACTTTAAAGGGCAAATACACACACACACACGCACACACACACACACCATGAAGTTTTGCCATACCTTAAAAAATAACTAAAAGAATTTTTGTAATGTGTAAAGATTATAGCATACTAATCCATACATAAAATACCTCTATCTTTCTAAAATTTCTATGGTATAAGGATTAAAAATAACACTTCAGATTTTGGTAGAATCAATCAATATCTATGGTTTAGGCTTAAACATATGAGAAACAGACACCAAAATATAACATGGGTAAAGATAAAAGCTAAATTGCTCAGTGTGAGAAAATGACTTTATTTAGTTTCATTGTTTTAGAGTGATGTCATAATTAACCACTACTACAGCTGTACGTGAGTTCTAGAAATGCTGCTCTTATCCTCAGGCAAGACAATGACCTATCCATCCTAATAATATTTTAATAATCATAAAACCCCAAAATATGCTGGCACTTGTACTAAGATGATATTTATTATTATTGTTTTATTACCCTGAATCTGAATAGTGACTCTTCCAACATCTTGAACTATCAATTAAACCCAGTTTTGTCCACTGAAATATAAACATTAATTCATTTATCAGAAGGAAACTGGAGAGAAGAATTGTAGAGTACAAGAGACATACAGAATTTTTTGTATACGGTATTGGACTCGACTAATGACCTGCATATAGACTAACAGTATAGGATGAATGTTTTACTGAATTTTCCTACTGATATAGTAAATATTTATCAGATAAATTTTACCCAAATATTATATTATCCTATGTGATCTGGCCAATTCCATGTCCCATCCAAGAGCCTTTCCCATCCATGCACAAGTCAAGGATCAGTCTTAGCCATCAAGTCTATTGAGAAACACTACCCCTCAGACAAGTTCATGTCCAATATCCTCCTTGAAGAATGAAGCCTAAATTTTAAAGATAGGGTGAAATTTGTGGCGAGAAAAAAGAGATAAATCTCAGGACAGGAAAGGAAACAAAAGGAAAACAGCCAGAATGTTCTGAAATGTCAGATGGAGAAAAAGGGAAATGTAAAACTGTGCTGCATTTAAAAACGGAACAACAACAACCAAAAACTCCTACATACTAGCTATATGTCTTAAAAATATGAAACCCACAAAGTCTTGTAGGAAAATTTCAGTATTGCTAAGGGATGCATGATGAAATCTGTAAGTGTACCTTCTTCCTACCTAAAACTCTGGATCCAGACCACAAGGGTATCTCATCAAATTTCTCTCTCTCTTTCTCTCCTCTCTCTCTCGCTCTCTCTCTGTCTCCTCTCTCTCTCATATATGCTATTTTCCAACCACTTGGAGGAAAGTATATGTACATGTAGTCAGTATTTGGAAACACTAATCATTTGTATTTAAAAATAATGTTCAGGCTGGGCACAGTGGCTCCACACCTGTGATCCCAGCGCTTTGGGAGGCTGAGATGGGCGGATCACGAGTTCAGGAGTTCGAGACCAGCCTGGCCAACGTGATGAAACCTTGTCTCTGCTAAAAATACAAATATTACTCCAGCATAATGGCGCATGCCTGTAGTTCCAGCTACTCGGGAGGCTGAGACAGAAGAATTGCTTGAACCCGGGAGGCGGAGGTTGCAGTGAGCTGAGATTGTGCCACTGCACTCCAGCCTGGGTGAGAGAGCGAGACTCCGTCTCAAATAATAATAATAATATGCAATGAGAATTTTTGCCCATATCTTTGCACACATGTTATTATAATCATGGAATGTATTTGTTGAGAGTAAAATTGCCAATTCACATGGCAAACACTATAAAATTTATTCCAAAGACATGTCAATTTTTATTTTCACAAATATGGCAGGAGTGTTTTCCACCCATATGCCCACAAACACTGAGTTTTATCAAACTTCAAAATTTCTTTTTTCTTAAACAGTTTGGAAAAAAAATTGTACCAATTATTTAAATGTTATTCCCTCAATAGTTAGTGAGATGAAGTGTTCTGTTATTAGTTTACAAATACTTTTTTCTACAAATATCTTTGCACTTAATATTTAACTTGGTTGAGGGCTTTTCTTTTTGTAATTGTTCATGAACACATTTAGTCACAAGATGAGCTATTTCCCATCACAAAAAGAAAAGTATAATAAAAAAGAGAAGAAAATTGGAGGTATAAAAAAGACATAAAATTAACTTACAGTTGTAAAAAACATAATATCAGAAATAAAATTTCCATATTATTCTGGAAAAGATTAATTCTAGAAACTGCAGAAGAAAATACTGGTAAACTTGAACACAGAAATAGAAACTATCCAAAAGTGAATGTAATAAGAACGGATTGAGAAAAAAAAATAAATAGAGCACTAATGAGCTATATAACAATATCAGGCAACCTAATACAAGTGTAAATTTAGTCCTTACTTAGAAAATAAGGGAGAAAAAACCAAAGATTTTTGAAAAAATAATAGCTAGAATATTTCTAAATTTGATGAAAGTATAATGTTATATATCTAGAAAACTCAATAAACACAAAGCAGAAAAAAATAGCACACACATCTAGGGCTATTACAATCAAATTGCTGGAATCACCAATAAGGAAAAAAAGTCATAAAAGCAGTCAAAAATAAATAAAACCCAGAGGGAAAAGGACAATGCTATTAGACATCTTATCAGAAACAAAGCAAAACAAAAGAATGTTGGTTGTTTCTTTAAAATACTGTAATTAAAGACAAAAGCAAACAGCAAAGTAAACAAACAAGCCAAAAAAAAAAAAAAAAAACAGAAACCAAAAACAAAAAACCTGACAATCCAGAATGCTATAGCTAGTAAAAAATGTCTGTATAAAAATGTCTATTTTCTCTTTTCTTTTTCTTTTTGTTTTAAGTTCCAGGGTACCTGTGCAGGATGTGCAGTTTCATTAAATATGTAAAGGAGTGCCATGATGGTTTACTGCACCTATCAACCCATCACCTAGGTATTAAGTCCAGCATGCCTATTTTCATTTACCTATTTTTTGACATTTTCAGACATAGAAAAGGTAACTATAAACATAAAAATATTTCTAAATATTGTATCATCAAATCCAACAACATTTAAAATGTATAATATGTTATGACCAAGTTTGATTTAACCAGGAATTCAAATTAGTTCTCTCCTAAAATTGATTGAAATCTACTGTAATTCCACTTAAAATACCATAACACATTTTTGGTTTTGGCAAAATATTGGTAAACGAATGTTTAAAATTAAATATAAATGTCAATGACCTAGAATAGGCCAAAAAAAAAAAAATTAAAAATCAAAGCTTGATGATGCATACCAGCTGGTCTCATGAGATTATAAAGCTAGTATTCAAGACAGTACATTTTTCATATGAGAATGAGATATGGACCAATGGAACAGCATAGCAGGCCCACAAATTCACAAATACATAATTGATCAAATGATTCTACAAAGGAACCAAAACAATTCTGTAGGGAAAGGAATATATTTTCAACAAATAATGAAAAAAATTGACTATCTATATGAAAGAAAGAACAAAATAATATTTGACCACTATCTTATATACAAAAATTTACTTAAAATGGAGAAAAGATCTAAATACAATAGCAAAATCTATGAAAGTTCTATTACAAAGCATGGGAGAAAATATCCATGACTTATTTTTTTTTCTAAAAGATACAAAGAGAACAAACTGTAAAATGAAAAAAGATAATTTATACATCTTTAAAATTAAAAAAAAACATTTGTTCCTCAAGAAATATCATTAAAATAATAAAATGATAAGCATGCACTTGGAGAATATAGTTCAAAATGTAAACCTGTAAATTCAGAATGAAACTGGACCACCCATTAAAAGATGTTCGAAGATTTAAACAGAAACTTCTCAAAAGAAATATGGGCCAGGTGCAGTGGCTCATGCCTGTCATCCCAGCACTTTGGGAGGCCGAGGCCGGTGGATCATGAGGTCAGGAATTCGAGACCAGCCTGGCCAACATGGTGAAACCCTGTCTCTACTAAAAATACAAAAATTAGCTGGGTGTGGTGGCAGGCATCTGTAATCCCAGTTACTTGGGGGTGCTGAGGCAGGACAATTGCTTGAATCCCGGAGGCGGAGCTTGCAGTGAGCAGAGACTGCACCGTTGCACTCCAGCCTGGGTGACAAAAAACAAGAAAGAAATATTATATCAAAAACACATGAAGTGATTCTCAATATTATGTCATTACAGAACTGAAAATTAATACCATAAATATTCACTATTGTCGAGTAATATATTTCACCAAAATTTAGCATAAAAATAAACATTTATTATGTCACAGTTTATGAGGGTCAGGAATCTAAGAGCAATTTACCTGGGTCATTTTGGGTTGCAATCAAACTGTCAGCCAGTTACAGTCATTTCATGAGCTTCCCACTCACTCATGCAGTTGTTAGCAGTCCTAGTTTCTTGGTTGGTTGTTGGTGTGAGACTTCAAGTGTTTGCCACTCAGGCCTCTCCAAATAGATACTCACAAATTGCAGCTTCCTTCCTCCAAGATTAAGTAATCTAAGACAGAGTGTAATGAGGAAGTCCCAATGGCTAGGACCTAGTTTTGGAGAAAACATACACACACTCACACACTCTCTCTCTCTCTCTCTCTCTCTCTCTCTCTCTCTCTCTTCTCTCTCTCTCTCTCCCTCTCTCTCTCTGTCTCTCCCACTGCTTTATTCTATTTGTTAGATGCAAATCACTAAGTACAGTCTACACTTAAAGGGTAGAGAATAAATCTCCACCTCTTTAATGGAGAAGTTTCAAAAAATTTGTGGATATATTTTTAAAACCACTACAATGAATTACCTCTACATGTGAACAAGAATGGCTAAAACTAAATAAAAATGTAGCAATACCAAATGTTGGCAAATATATGAGGTAATTGAGACATTCAAATATTTCTGATGGGAATAAAAATAGCATAGCCAACTTGGAAAACAATTTGATGATTTCTTAGAATATAAGGTATATCTTTACCCTGTGATCCAATAATTCCACTAATTCCACTTCTGGGTATTTACTCAAAAGAAATAAAAGTTAATGGCTACAAAAAGACTTGCAGATTTATTTATCATTACCAAGAAGAGATAATAACTAAATGCTAATGAACTGCTCAGTAGATAAACAAGGTGTGGTAGATTGACATGATGTAATGATATTTACCAATAAAATTAGTGAATCATTGATGTATGTTACAACCTGGAGAATCTCGGACACATTCTGTGAAGTTAAAAAAAAATTCAGTTACAAAATACTACATACAGTTTGATGCTAATTGTATAAAATTTTATGAAAGACAAAATTATAGTGATGGAATGTACATCAGTGGTTGCCAGGGTCCAGAGTGTGGTAAAGATAAAGAAACATAACATTTTGGGATGAGGCAAATGTTATATACCATGGCATGCTATTGTATTTACATGGCTGTATATATTTCTCAAATTTAATCTAATTATACACCTAAAATTTTGTTGTATATAATTACACAATTCTCTAATTAAGAAAGCCAAAACAAAAATAAACGAGGAAAAGAAGAAAAGAGTAAGAAAATATGAAAGAAATAAAAGAACATGAAAGGAAGAACATAAGAACAAAGAATGCACTCTTTAAAGTCAGGCCTGTGGAATACTTATCAATACATCCTCCTCAAAAAACTTAGTGGATTTTTGTTCTGTTTGTTTCTACACAATTTTATGTGTTTGCAAGCACGGTTTTAAAACCCAATTTTATACCCTACCTACAATTTTCAAACTATCCATCTTTTCCTAATTTTAATTGTGCTTGCCTTAGAACAACCTAGATCAATCAAATAGGCTTGGGTGAGAAGGCAATCAATGTCTTTGACTATTTAGAATAACTTTCCTTTTTATTGTTGTTGTTGACAATCACAAAGGACCTTCAAAGAGTTTGTGAGGAGCAGATTTATTTTCTGGCATTAGGAATCTAAAAGAAGCTGGCTTTTTCAAACCAGCAAGGCAACAGATATCTGAACAATATTCGTTCACTCAATCATCTATCTTTACCATGTATTTTGCTATAGTATAACAGGAGTCACCTGTTACTCAGCTGCAACAAATGTGCCTTCTCTACCCTACTATCCCTAAGTGAATGTCGCATATTTTAAATTAATTATAGTAACACTTAATTTTGGTACCAATTCTTATAATACATACATAAGAGTCTATGTTATTGCAAAAAGAGAGCTCCAAATACAATGGATTCCACAAAGTTTATTTCAATCCATACAAGAGTTTCAGTTGAGGATTCCACAATGGCAGCTTTGCAAGGACAAATTCCTTCCATATTTTTTTTGTTGTGGTTGTTGTTGTTGAAAGTAAGCCGTGGGCCGGACACGGTGGCTCACGCCTGAAATCTAAGCACTTTGGGAGGTTGAGGCAGGCGGATCACGAGGTCAGCAGATCGAGACCATCCTGGCTAACGCGGTAAAACCCCGTCTCTATTAAAATTACCAAAAAATTAGCCGGGCATAGTGGCGGGCGCCTGTAGTCCCAGCTACTCCGGAGGCTGAGACAGGAGAATGGCGTGAACCCGGGAGACGGAGTTTGCAGTGAGCCCGGATAGCGCCTTGGCAACAAAGAAAGACCCCGTCTCAAAAAAAAAAAAAAAGAAAGTAAGCCATGTATGCATCTATCCTCCAGCAAATAAGGAGGGAAAGGAAAGTTGGAAGATCGTTTACTTGTAGGCTTAGGACTCAACCACGAAATTTGTTCACCATGCTTGCACTAATGTCCCTATGCTGAGAAATTAGTCACATGAACACCCCTCAGTAAAGGCAGGCTGAGAAATACAATCTATTATGTTAACAAATTGTAATGTTTCTCTGAGGCTATTTTGCATTTATTTAAACTTCTTTGTCACTGGTATTTTGAAAGAGGATGCACAAAGGAAAAAATGAAAATTTTAATTCTAGCAGCCAGAGAAAATAACAGCTTTTATCATTTTACATGTGTGTTATTTTTAAATATTAGAACTATAGTTTCTGATAATTTTTAGACCATAATTTTTCCTCAGAATACCAGAAATGGCCCATATGATTTTGTAATTTTAGTATTATGATATTTATAGCTCTTTATAGCATTTTGTGTATATACTATCATTTTAACCATTTCCCACTGTTGAATATTTTAATATGTTCACTTTTTTCAATTATAAACTTGATGAGTAACCATGTGTTTATACTTTTTTTTTGTTTATCTTTTGCTATTTTCTAGGTAAAATACCTACATATGAAATTTTTGGCAGGAAAGTAGATGTGTATTTCAAAGGTTCTTAATATTTGCCTATCAGTCTCCAGAATAACCTGTAGTATTTGAAATTACCCAAGAACATACCATTACATATATAAAACTACTCATATTTGAGCTGATTTATTTGTTTCTAATTACAGTAAACATTCATTTCTTCAGGAACTGTAACAAGTACAGAAGAGATAAGCAAAATGCGCTACCTATCCTCAAAGTTGAATGTAGCAAACTTACTGGTGAACAATTAATGACCATGTCTTGTAATGAGTCCTAAAACACATGACTATGCAAAGAATAACTATGACACAAAGAGAGCAAGTATCTCACATTTTCGACATTACCTGATTCATCTTCTAGACCTGATAAATTGCAATAATAATTTCCATAAATTTTTTGAAATGTCCAATAAACCTATATTTTCTGCACTGGCTAATATAAAAAGAAATAATATTCTATCTGTAGCTTATTTTGCAATGATCTGGGATCTTGTCCTAATTATTTTCCCTGGACTGACCTCTCACTATATCTCCATCTTTGTATGTGCCACACTTCAGATATGTCAGGGACATCTTTGTTCCAAGGAGATGCAAAGTACTACTTGATGGTCATCTAGATAAAGGATGTGAATGAAAGATGGGGAACAAGAGTATAACTTTGGAGAGGTATGACTTACCTCATATTTCATATTTTATTATTATTATAATTGTCTTTTGTGTACATCCAGTTTAAATACCACAGTTTCACAAGTCAGAATTGATTACTCCTTCCTTTGCTCTAAGAAATAATATGTCTATTTAACATGTATTTAATTTTGCTATCACCAAACCTCAGGTGTACAGTCAATGGAAATTTCATTCTAAATCTCCCCACAGGCCTAAATGATATAGTCCCTCAGTAAATATTAGGTGAGTCTAGAGCAGAATGAAAGTTTGTGGCAGATAATTAACATTTGTCTTCTTAAATAGATCTCGTGGCCTTTCTGAGAATTGTTATCCTTGGAAAATGTTGAAGATTGTCTCCTGTGAAAACTTATTAAATCACTAGCATAAATGTAGCAAGACTTTTGGAAGTTTGACACATTATATTTTTGTGACAAATATCTCAGCGTTCTGAAATAAGATCTTTCCTAACAACCAAATTATTATGTTGAAATTGGTTGAATAAGCTAGAGTTTGTAGTCTGCTGTTTATTATTTTCCCCATTTATTTATTTACTCAAGTTTGCTACTAAAACAAGGAATGTCTCTCCCTCTAGATTGATGGATAGATAGATAAAGATAGATGATGATAGGCAGATAGATAGATAGATAGATAGATACATACATACATACATACATACACAGATACACATACATATATACTCACACACACGTATATATGTGTTTGCAATGGCATAACACTATAAATATTGTATTGTGTGTATAAATGTGTGTGTGTATATATATATATGTTTATCACTATCTTCCAGAAAATTGTATTTTTATTCTTAAGAGTATTATAAAGATCAGTGAAATGGCATCTACAAGAAACTGTTAAATTTCTTACCCAAAGAGTGTCACAATAATATAAAATAGTGTATCATCACTAAAATCCTTTGTGTTGTTCTTTTGTAAACATACCTATCTCCCTCCCATCTCAGTTTCAAACCTGGCAATCACTAATGTGTTAATCATTTCTAAAATTTTATCATTTCAATGTAAATGTAATCATACAATATGCAATCTTAAGAGAGAAGCTTCTTCACTCAGAATATTTCCCTTGTGATCCAGCGAAGTTGTAACGTATATCATTAGTTCATTCTTTTTATTGGTAAGTAGTAGTCTATGTTATTACAGTTTGTTTAAACATTCACCTGTTGAACAATATCTAGGTTGTTTTTATTGGGGGGCTATTATGAATAAAGAGAGTATAAACATTTGTTCATATGCTTTTGGGTAAACACAAGTTTTTATTTCATTGCTATAAAAACTAGAAAGTAAAATTACTGGGTCATTTTATAAAGACATATTTAATTTTATGAGAAATTTCTGGCCAGGCATGGTAGCTCACGCTTGTAATCCCAGCACTTTGGGAGGCCAAGGAGGGCAGATCACTTGAGGTCAGAATTTCTAGACTACACTGGCCAACATGGTGAAACCCTGTTTCTACTAAAAAAAAAAAAAAAAAAAAAAAAAAAAAATTAGCAGGGCATGATGGTGCACACCTGTAGTCCCAGCTACGTGGGAGACTGAGGTGAGAAAAGTGTTTGAACCCGGGAGGCAGAGGTTGTAGTGAGCCAAGATTGTGCCACTGCACTCCAGCCTGGGTGACAGACTGAGACTCTGTCTCAAAAAAAAAAAAAAGTAAAAAGAAAAAAAGGAATTTTTCTAATTTCTTTCTAGAGTGGCTCTACCATTTTATATTTCTACTAACAGTGCATGAGAGTTCCAATTTCTCGACATCCTTTCCAAACACTTGGTATTGTCACTATTTTTAATTTTAGCCATTCTGATAAGTGTGCAGTGACATCTTCTCATTGTGATTTTAACTTGCATTTCCTTTATGGCTAACAATGCTGAAAATATTTTAATGTACTCATTTGTTGTCTGTTTACTTTTCATCTTTGTTATGCTTTTCATCTTTTTCTATCATTTTCTAATTGGATTGATGGAACTTTTGAGTACCTGGACTATGGTCGTGGATATAAGAACCTACTCAAGGGATAAAATAATATAGAACTAAACACACACACATATTTATGAGTAGAAGTAACATAGGATATTTGAATAAGATCAGTTGATGTTTTAATGCCAGTATCCTGGTTGTGATGTTATTCTATACTTTTGAAAAATGTTAATACTTGGAGAAGCTGATGAATTGTATATAAATCTCTTTCTATTATTTCTAACAACTGCATAAGAATCTACAAGCATTTTAATAACATTTCAAGGAAAAACAGTGTATGATTATGTTATGCCATTAAGACTTTAATATTGTCTCTAGAATGAGACTTGAGAAATGTAGTCAATGATTTCATTTACACCAACTATGCTTCGCATAAAACAAAATAAAATAAAAGTATCGGGCACTCAATGTTCTTCCATACAAATAAGTCTAAAATAACCTTGCAAATGAGAATTGCTTGTTTTGAAAGTATTTGCTTTTCCATTTGTCTTCTATACTCCCATGCATACAGGGAAGTAAGGCCAATGATGTCAAAACTCTGCCCGACTCTATGGAATATGTTACTAATTTTGTTCTGCACAATTAGTAGAAATCCATTGACTAACTTAAAAGTTTTAATCGAAGATATTAAACTTGACTCTTCTATGTAAGAAAAAGGGTTATATTAGTACCATAGAAAGCCTACATCTGTTTGTTTTGATTTGGCATTCATATGCTTATGCTTGTATCACAACTTTTATGAAATATGAAAATAACACTAGGAAAAGCAATTTAAAGCAAGAGGACATTGGCAAATATCTACCATTGCAGAGATTAAAGGTGGAAAACTTCATACTATTATGTGGGAAGCAGAGATCATCAGTGACTTTTTTGAGATAGTTTCTATAAAATGTTAGAAATTGGACAGAGTGCAAGCTGTTGGGGAGTGGTAGAGCGGTGACGGAACAGCAGAGCATGTTGAATATATTTTGCTGAGGCAGACAAGGAATTGTGATGGAATCTTGAAAAGAAACGGGGGGACTTCTGGCCGCAATAAGAATATAGTTTGTGCATTTACGTATTCCCTTCCCTTCAAAAATGGAAGTGCTAAGTAAGAGTAAATAAAAATAAAATAAAATGAAGTAATTTAACCACAAGCAGGAAAAAGATGTCCATGGGCTAGAATATGAATAGAAACACACTGTAGCAGGCAGGGGCTGAAGCTGTGTGCCTGCTGGGATCAAGGACTGAATGTGTGAGGAGAGAGTCTGGAGTTAGGGTTCTTGGATAACGGGGCCCAAAAGTACCTTAGGCGCTATTGAAGATCAAAGTCTAGCTCATCTTGTGAAACCAGAAGCCTGGACTCCCTGCCGGTTCGCGGGGGCTGAGAAATCTTAGGCCAGCTACCTAAGGTTTGCATACAATTCCTTGCCATGGTTGGCTGAAGGAAGTAAGCACAACCAGGAAAGAAACACGGGCCAAGCTGGCACTAAATTAGCCCCAATATCAGTTGGTGCCCCAGAAAGGCAACTGTAAATCCAAAATATGAATGGGCAAGCATCAAAAGATTCTGTTTGTTAATCCTTTTGACGATGAACCTGAGAATGAAAATTTCAGGTTCAAAGTAAATGACTGAAAGTATCACTCAGATTGATAGTCAACATTTACCAAAATGAGTATACCAATATGTATACTCTCAGCAAAAATGCAAATCAGTAATATGATATAAATAGATTTTATTTCCTCAGATACATAAGTATAATATCAACATCCATTGCAATAACATGAATAGAAGACAGATAAATTATAAATGCAAATAATAAGGTATTAGTTACCTATGTATGATATATATATATCATGCATATATATATATGGATGATACATATATGCAATATATATATGAATGAAAGAGAACACAGAAGTAAGAAAAATAACAAGTTAGGCACATTGAAATTCATACATAGAGCCATAGAATAAGAGACTTGATAGTTTGTAGATCAGTATTAGTAAATAGAAAGACAATGCTGAAAACTTTGCACTGAATTAACACAAAAAATTAAATCATAAAATGTATAAAACTTAAGAGAAATGGAGACCAAATTACGCAGTCCAAGATTAAGAATATTTCTATTAATTTTTTCTTTTTCTTTTTCTTTTTTTTTTTTTTTTGAGATGGAGTTTCACTCTTGTTGCCCAGGCCGGAGTGCAATGGCACGATGTCGGCTCACTGCAGCCTCTGCCTCCCAGGTTCAAGCGAGCTTCCTGCCTCAGCCTCCTGAGTAGCTGGGATTACAGGCTTGCCCCATCATGCCCAGCTAATTTTGTATTTTTAGTAGAGATGGGGTTTTTTCATGTTGGTCAGGCTGGTCTCGAACTCTGGACCTCAGGTGATCTGCCCGCCTCAGCCTCCCAAAGTAACAGGATTACAGGTGTGAGCCACCAGGCCTGGCCAATTAAAAATACTTCTAAGAGAAAACAATAGGGTTAATATTAATAAGAAATTCTGAATTTTTTAAGAATTGCAAAATATATTCTTGCCAACAGCCAAATATGTATGGTGGTTATATAAAAGCAAACATAAACAAGTAAAATCTCTTTCCTCAGCATGGCGTTAACGATCAGAGGAACAGAAGAAAAAGAACAGATCTCATTCTGGTAGAAAGGAGGTGGATAGAATGTGTTTGTGTTTGAAATATTGAGTTTAGCGTGCTATGGGCACCCAGGTTCTTACATCCAATTTTCAATTTCAAACTAGGTAAACTTGGGTATGGGATGCCCATTGGGTGATACTGTAGAATTACTCTTGTTAAGTGTGAGCACATCACATTTAGCCATATATGGAAAGTTTATTGTTTAGGACACATCATGAAGCTTGTAGTGGTGGATGTTATGATGTGTTTAATTTACTTTGTGTGTGTGTGTGTGTGTGTGTGTGTGTGTGTTTAATTTACTTTTAACATTCTTCAACATTAAAAAAAAATAACGCTAGACAATAGGAGATAACCAATAGGTGAGAATGGAAATTAAAACTTGAGATTTATTGGTAATTCAGTGAGGATGATCTAAGTGAGAATGGTTTCTTTCTTTTCTGAAAGTTTTTCTATGTTTTTTTTTTTTCAACAAGGCAAGGGTTTTGGAATTTTTTGGGGGTGATCATGTTGTAAGGATCATGAAGGGAATTTGAGATTATGAGGATGTTCCCACAAGCCCCATAAACTGTCCCCATTTGTTGTCCCCAAGTAAAAGTGTCTAGTACTTATTGTGACAAATTATCCTGGTTTCCTAAGACTGTCTTATTCTTAGCGCTGAAAATTCTATCACCTGAAAAAGCCCTCAGGTAGTCAGTACATTTTAGGAGGCAGAAATGGTCTGGGAGACCTTGGCTTTTCATACAATGAGTTTATGAATGAGAATATACCTATGATTTTGTGTTCTGTAAATGAGCTCCAGGGAGATGGTTGTTTCTATGGCTCATTCGTCTCTCACTGTTAGTTCTCTGCTCTTTAAAAAAATCTGGTTTGCCTATTCACTTATATAAATTATGGCATAAGTCTTTCCACATGCATCTGCTTCATAATATACATTAAACACTTGAAAAAGAAGCCAGGAATAACTGGGCATGAATAATTAAGGCATAAAGTTTATATTTCTTGATATTATCTCATACACACTAAAATAAAAAACTCTGTGATTTTGATTTTGGTGGTTTTTTATTTTAGTGAAATCATGGTAATTTGATATTTTTATAGTATGTATTAAATAATAAATCTTATGCAAATTAAAATTATGAGTCAAATTTTGTAGGACACTGATTCATTTTATTGAGAGAGAAAGTGCTTAAGAAATGTATTTTATACAAGCTGTATCCATAAAAAACGATTACAGTATTCTTTCTTTTTTATTAAGCTAGATCTAACAGTATTTCCATGTGGCAAGACATTGTTAACATTTAATTAACTCACTATAATACTCACAAGCAATTCAATTAAAATAGTGTATATAAAAACATTTTATAAGTATAAGAATATTATGCATATATTATTTATGTTTTTCCGCCTCTAAAAGTATACCATAAACCTTGTTTTTTTTTGTACCAAAACAAGCCTCAATTTCCAAATAAGTAAAGATTTACTGCAGAAGTATTTATTAATTCTATTTGTGACTTGTCTCAGTTACAACTATTTCATCTAGACAATTCAGTCTTTTCAGTTGCACTGTATTTAAGTACAAACTTGAATACAGAATACATTATCTTCAATAATATAAACTAATCCATTTTGGCATGAAAGACACTAGGTTTATTATTGATTTTTCTTTAGCACTAAAAGGAAATTATGGCTGTGAACATCTTCTCTTTTAATAAGATTATAGCACTGAATATAATCAAATATAACTCCCCTTCTCTCTTCCATTGCTCACATCAAAATGGTAAATATTGCAATATTTATTAGTGAGTTCCTAACGTAGCAGAGTTGTAGACATAGAGATGCTTGCTCTTCCTTCTTACCTCCTCTGTTATTTGCCTTTTGCTCATCTGTTTCTGTATCTGGAATACAGAAAGTTCCATAGAGTACTAGTAAAACTTTATATCAAAAATAATCTTCATCAAAATTATTTTCAGCAACTAAATGAACACACCAATTTACATTGACTTTAGGTACTCCCCTGTTTAGATTTAATAAAGACAAAATACCTGATCCTTAAATAGCAAAAGACTATATACTCAGGGTGTTATGTGTTATCAAATTTACCAAGTCATAGGATGGAGTGGGCATAGTTGTAATTTATTTTATCATAGTAACTAATCATTCAAAATTGGCTTTGAGCAGGTACAAAAGGAAGACATAATTTACATGATGAAGAAGTCCAGATTCCCCTGTCACCTACCTCAGCTGACCTGGCATGTTTCCCTTAACCCCTGCTTGTAGTTTATATGCAGTTCCTTCATGAAGGAGGAAAGCGTAGAAACCTAATTTAGAGCTATCAATACGGTATGTTGGTACTAGCTGGCAAAGATATTCTACTGAATTAAAATTCATCTCAAGGGTGGCACAAGACACAGTGATGAAATAAAACCCACTTTTTTGGTGGGGGAGGATATCTAAGGTATTGATATACCCTGAACCTCGGGCAGTGGAGAATGGCTGCATTGTTTGGTCAGAGGCCTAGAAGGAACAAGCTTACAAGATTCAGAACAAGGTTACCAGGGGAATAGGTGCCCAGATGCATATATACAATCTAGAACAAACACTGCAGACATTTTTTGTCTCATACTAATGGCCAACAGATAGTATCTACTACAAACAAGTCTCTCAAAAACTGGATGTATAGGATGACTCATCTTGTGACTGTCAATCTAACTGTTTCTTAGATTATTCTGGTACTTGTACCATGTACCTAAGGACAGAATAAACATTAGGAAAAAAATGAAATACATTCTTAAGTCCCAAAACAGGGACTGTCCACTAAAGATATGCTAGCTACCACCAGTGCTGAATATCCAACCTGCCAACAACAGAAACCAATGCCAAAGCTTTAATATGGCTTTATTCTTCAGATATTTAGGCCATCCAAACATTGGCTGTTCAATCACATTCAACAACTTTCCACTTTGGCAGAGACAGAAACTCACCATATTGGAATCAATACTTGAATTGGCTCTTCATGTTTGTGTACTGTCACCAGCACCACTAACTGAAGACTAACAGAATGACTAATGTATTGACATGGTATGCCACATAATATTGCTCAGTCTTTTATAGAAAAGGAACGGTGACAATGAGTTAATAAATAGGAATTCCACTGTACATACCACATACTCAACCATCAAAAATCAGCCAACTTGATTGAACAGGACTGATATTGGAATGGAGTGCTGAAGGCTTAATTGAGGCATCAAATAGACAAAACCTCATGAGATTGGGCACTGTCTCCCAGCCACTTATGCACTGAATCAATTATTTATTTCATATACAGTGTCCTCAATAAAATACACTGACCCAGCAACTAAGGAGTAAAAGTAGGATCAACAGCTCCCATCATCACTCCCAGTTATTTTATGCACTTTGAAATTTGAACTTTTCATTTCCAAATCTTAAGATCTTTCAGGTAATTGTTAACTGCTTCCTGGGGCTAGGTGAAGCTAGGGTCTTGGCAGGGCTTGTAGTCAAGTATCCACTGTACTAAAATCTGGGCTTACCATGTTGTCATTTTCAGCCTCTCATATTGGGGGACTAGCAAGCAAAGGAAAGAGTTACTCTACTGATAATCCACCCTGATTTTTTTGAGGGTAGTGGTGGGGGTATGTTTAACCCAGAAGTTTCATCAGGTTTTCTCTTGGTGCTTCAACACCCAGCATTATATGAAAATAGTCAGTTTCAACAATAATATCCACAAGAACATGAAAACACTGCAGCTAAGTGTAAAAACCACCGTGGTTTCAGTAAGGGTTATTCTTCCAAGTAAGCAACCCAACTCAGCTAAGTGATGGCCAACTATGAGGGAAATCTTACATAGATGGGGGAGAAATAGATGTGATATAAAAATTGATACTGTATTTTGCTTAGCCTTTTTATTTAACTTTTTCTAGGACATATAACCTAGTGGTACCCTTGAAGAACTGGATACCTACTTTTCTTGAGGGAAGCTTTTTTTTTCTACGTGGATCAACTTACAAGAATGGTTCAAGAGATGGCCCTTACTAAACAAAGTTATATACTATCCCAAATATGTTCCAATTTACCTATTTTCTTGCCTTTAGACTTGCATACTGATTTGCTCCATAATGGCCCTAGAGATGGTTCAACCCATACTTTTGCAGCAACTGTTGCCAACACTTCAGAATAATGATTTCACATGTACAAGGTGACTGATAAGTAGAGACAGCTATACCAGCACATTAACAAGTCTGGATACACAGAGCCTCTGGCACGCCCCAAATGTTTACGTGAGTCACCAAGTAACACATCTTTGACATACGAACTATTATGACCTGTGGACATGCTTTTACCAATGGGGAATGGAAACTGGAATAGAGCTGGCAGAGAGATTATCTTCTCTTCTTACCTTAATAAATTTCCCTGAGACATGGTAGTTGTATTTAGGTTTCTGAAAATGTCCTGCCATCAGCTGTGCTTAGTGAGAACTAATGCTCCTTCTTGTATTTGCTTTTTCTATTTCTCTGTGTCACTTAACCTTTATCCTTCGCTTTTGCTTCCCTTGGATACAAATATCTGTAATATGATATCATTATATCTTTGGCCTCAGACTCTCTTATCCAGTCAACTTAAGCAAAGGCTACTGAACTATTTAGTTATTTTGTGTTGGTAAACAACTCATATTTTATTTGCACATATGACTGTTTCAACCCATTAGTTTGAATGACAACTGCACAACACAAAAACTAATACATGTGCTGGGAACTTAATAAGTGGTAAAATTTTATTTGAAAGATTAGGTCTCATTATGGAAAAATTACGATTTGGTGAATATTTTCTGTTGCTGTTTCTAGACTTCTTGTCCCCCGAGCTGCTGTCACTTAATACCTAAAATTTTCTATCAGAAGAGACAGAATCCCTCATTTTTAATGCCGTCAGCATCCTATGTAGCATTAACTTAATTTTATTCTTTAATGGTGGTAATGATTTAATTGGATAAAGCTGTACCCATATAAATTCCTAGGTGTTAAAGAAAGAAGAAAAATATTTGGTAATTTTGTGTCTTTACATTGCTTCTTCTCAAACAATACATTGTACATCCTATTAACTGCATAGAACTGGGACCAGAATCCCAGAATTATTCTGAGTATATGGAACTTTGATTGGAATTTTATATGCTGGGGTAAAATAATAGGCCTCTTCTTGAAATGAGAAACATAGAGATACCAATTTCCTTTACTTGACAGACTGTGATTTTCTCTTCTGATGCAGTACTCTATTGTAAAGTCATCATTTCTGAAGTTCAATCCGTAGAGAAATTAAGCTACTCACTTCAGAGTGATATCGTGTTACTTGTCAGCCTCTAGGTCCTTCAAAATGTCTCTCAATTCTTCCAACCAATCATCCCCTGGCAGCATCCATGAGTAGGGTTCATTTCTTTCATAAGAGGTTATTCAACTAACAAAATTCATAGGATAACTCTCCTGAATTCTTCTGTGGTTTAAACTTACATTTCCCCTTCCCTAGTAACAGGCTGTACCATGAGAGTGAAAAAAAAATCCTATTTTAAAATAAAATACCACGAGGTGTGTTTCATAGGAGCAAAAGGGCACCTACATTTTATCAGACAGAGGCATAATCCCTGCTGGGCATATCAATATAAAACCTATTTTTGTTTATTACTATTTGAGGATCCACTTATTATTAATAAAATTAATATTTCTTTTGAATGGCATGTTTATCCTTCTGAAACCTTAACTGTCTTCATAAGAAAAGATTTATTGGTCTTCAATTTACACATTGAAAGATGCCACAAGAGTAAATAGGATCACTTTTGTACCAGGCTTTAAAGACCAGTCTGGTGTTATTTAGAAGCACTGCAGGCAGAATAGCTACTTCTGAGAGCTGTTGCCTGACTTACACTGTCTTCACATTTTATTCTAATCCTAGCAAGTGGAGTTGCAACTTTATTTGCTCCATGACAATCTGGGGATGCTGAAAGGGACATGGATACAACACAGAACTCGAATAGTATGTCTCACCACTGTCACTTCCCAACCTTTTAGTTAGTCCCAAAACTTAGTTCACAGGTTCCCTATATATCCCAGCTATTGCCATAAATTTGAGAGACTTTATTATTCAAATGAGAATTCTCTGGACCTCATAAACAATGTTTATTTTCATATGACTTTATGTATACACAAATATGATTGCCTTTCAACATTTGTGCTCACAAACACCTGTTCTACCTATGAAATGAAACTGCAATATTTATCCACTGATATTACAAACTTTCAATTTTTCATGCCTTATAGTTTTTTCATAAATTCTAATCTTTTTATTTCATTCCATCTTTAGTCCTTTGTTTTTCTCGTAGATGGCCAGTATCATTTTTCTTTTTCTAGATTATCTGCAAGTTAGATGTTGTTTTTTAGTGAGACATGATGAATTATGCATACAATTGCATAATTCGCAATAATGAAAATGTACTGTTTGTTTAAAGTTTTGAAACAAATGTTACAAAGTTTGGAAGCAAAGTCTTAAAATCTTTGCTTCATAATTGTCAATAGAACTTGATCAGGATAGTGAATTATTTCACTGAAACCATAACATAATCATAAAAATCAAAGAAGTGAAGAGTGTAAAATTTTAAAGCTTCCTGCTCTCAGTTTTGAGATATTTTAATTTTTGTTTAACTCATATGCAACTTTTCATTCTTTATAGAGTATGCCAAGAGTTCAGAAAGAATAAGATCCACTGCCCAGATCTGTCCTGGCATCGCCACTGTCATGCCACAGCTGCTCTTTCTTGCTAATGCTGTACAATTTTACATAGTTAAGCCAGTACAAATGGCCTGTCCTCAATATGTAAATCCTCAATGCAGAACTCATCATTTGTTCATGTTCTGATACATGCCCACTCCTGTTTCATAATTCACCACTTTGTTCAAATTCCAAATCTTCAAGTTCCAAACCATGTTAATTACAAAATGCAAATGTCATTACAATTTACTTTTGTCCCCATGAGTTCAGATATAGTCTCTCAATGTGAGGATAATTCTTTAAATTTCTGCCTTTTCAGGGAGAAAGGAGTTCGAATAATTTATATGTATCTGGCTCCCTTCTTATTTCATGCTTTAATAATATAAAACACAAATGTTAAAACTGATTTAAATTCTAGGGGAGAAAGGCAGACTGGAGTAGCTTTGGTCACAAATCCATGTTTTGGCCAGAGAAGGCAAGGTACTTTGATTGAGAGTTCAACCTAAGTCACAAGTAATCTCCCAAATAAAAAGTAAAGTGTTTTTTTTTTCCAGAAGAAAGTAAAAGAGGCTTAGATTCATAATTAGATTCATAGTTAGAAAGCCTTTCCCTACAAAGAAAGTTTGAAGAGGAATTCACTCAGGTTTTCATCTAGTTCTTATATACTTTCATTTTTCACACTTCTTACATTATTTTACCAAATTAATACATCAGGTAAGAGGTAGATTTGATATATTAACTGGAATATGTCTGTAACTAAAGTTTGTATGCTACTTATTAACATTTTTTGACGTTGTTGATTTTGTTTAGAGCATACTGCTTTAGCTATTTTTATTTTCTCTTCTATATCTTATTCTGCAGGTTATTTTCTAAAGAACAGAAATTCTCTGAAATTGCATTTCATGAATTTCAGGATTATATGAGACAGGTGCTTGATGCACTTTGTTTCAATTAGCTATCATGGAGAACATGCCTTTGCCACTTACTAATTGCATAAATTCTCTATCCCAGTTTCCTCCTCTAAACATGAGGATAATAAAATGTCCACCTCACAAGAGTGTGGTGAAGATTAAATGAGGTAACACAGGTAAAACACTTAGAAAAGCTTCCATTACAAGATAAATTCTCAGTAAGGGTTACTGCTACTGCTACTCCTAGTACCACCATGACCATCATCATCATCAACATCATCATCACATCTTACACTTTGTCTTTTCTCTGCTATGAGAATGTGAAACCTATTTAGTGATATTCTTCCCTTATCGTCTCCATTCTGATTATCCTTTTTTCTAAACAGTCAATCATTTTATTTTTCATTTATGATTAACTTTTTATGTTATTCCAAGGAGGATCTGAATCGTCCATGTTTAAAGACATAGCTACAGCAGAACCATGGTAAGCTAAAGAAAATAAGCCATGTAATTGTTGGGAGCAAGCCCCCCAAAATCTGGCCATTAACTGGCCCCAAGACTGGCCATAAACAAAATCTCTGCAGCACTGTGACATGTTCATAATGGCCCTAACGCCCAAGGTGGTAGGTTGTGGCTTTACAGGAAGGAGGACAAGGAACACCTGGCCAGCCCTGGGTGGAAAACCACTTAAAGGCATTCTTAAGCCACAAACAATAGCATGAGCGATGTATGCCTTAAGGACATGTTCCTGCTGCAGGTAACTAGCCCAACCTATTCCTTTAATTCGGCCCATCCCTTCGTTTCCCATAAGGGATACTTTTAGTTAATTTAATATCTATAGAAACAATGCCAATGACTGGTTTGCTGTTAATAAATATGTGGGTAAATCTCTGTTTGGGGCTCTAAGCTCTGAAGGCTGTGAGACCCCCGATTTCCCACTTTACACCTCTATATTTCTGTGTGTGTGTCTTTAATTCCTCTAGAGCTGCTGGGTTAGGGTCTCCCCGACCGAGCTGGTCTCAGCATGTAATGAGGGAAAAAGATGAAGGGGATAATTCTGATGGTGGCTAACATTTTGTGGGCACCTATTACATGCAAGGCACAGGGCCAAATGTTTTACTTTAAAAATGTCAAAGAATTCTGCCCCAGGATGTCTCATACCTAGAGGCTCCCCATATCTGATTTAAATGATGAAATTTGAGAGTTTTGAGCTGATGATATTTAGACGAGATTTTGGACTTGGAGTTGATGTAAATGGTTGAGTCATTTTAGGGTTGGGCAGAATGTGATGAGCACATTTTGCATGGAGGATAGATGTAAATCTTTGGGGATCAGAGGGTAGATTGTGGGTGTGATTAAAGATATTGAGATGGAAGAATTTTCCTGGATTATTTGGATGAGCCCTATATGTAACCTTGAGTGCCTTATAAGAAGGAGACAGAGGGAGATTTGACACAGAAGAAGAAAAGGCAATATAACTACTAAGGTAGAGATTGAAGCGATGTAGCCACACATCAAGAAATGCTGGTAGCTACCAGAAGCTGAAAGTAGCAAGCAATGAATTCTCCTTTACAGCTTTTGGAGAAAGAGTGGCCCTGTCCCCACCAGACTGATTTTTTTCCCATTGAAACTGATTTCAGACTTCTACTTTTTTCCCATTAATAAAAAGAAAAGTCGAGCATCAAAATAAAAAAAAATGCTCTTATTTGACCCATGTCATACATGTATCTGCAACTAAGGCTATCTCACTTCACAGAAAGGTTTTTGGAATTCATTCTATTCTAAATACCCTTCTATATCGCATGCCCCAATGCTAGACAAAATTGATTCTGCCCTCACCACTCCAATGATACTGCTGTCACCAAAATCACTGGGTAAGAAGATAATGCTTTTGTCAAAAGCATTAGAAACACAAGCTTTCAAGTTACAAATACAATTTTTCAACTAAAAATGAAACTTTTGGAAAGTAATTTTACTTCCCAGAACCTTTATTTTTTCTTTAAGAAAATGGTGGTAATAGTAACACCTATTATGACATTCATGGTCTTTGAACCACATTTTATTAATCTTATAGTCCACCAAAGAGGCTGGAGCTCCAATCAGAATTTTTTGCTATTCAGTTTATGCGAATGATCTCAATACTTAAAAAAATTTTTTTGAACTAGTAAAATTTTAGAAAACATTCTGGCTACCACCTTATTTTTTCCAACTTTTAATTTTGAGGTGTAAGGATATTTTAAAGAATACATATTCCATAAGATAGTATTGATGCCCCATTTTTAAAAGGAACTTTTAATTGCAAAACAGGCAGATAGAATAAAGGAAAGTTCTTAATATTGAATAAATTTCCCTTTCATAATATCTTATTACTGATAAATTTAACCTTATGCATAAAATACACTAATTGATAAAAATCTGTAGGAGTGGCACTGGTTTGTAGGTGACCTGTGTTTTTCTATCTCAGTGTCTGCACTAATGTTTCTCCCTTTACCTGGTTTAGTTTGTTGGTCTTGGCCAGTTTCAATTCTGCTTTTACCTTAAGGATCATATAAAAGTTTGTTTGCGAAGCTTTGCCTGATTCTCACATTCAAGCCTTCTTTCTTGCTCCCAGACAGAATAAAAAATAAAATCTAGTTCTAAAAACAACTTTTTAAAATTTTACTTTTAAGTTCAGCAGTACATGTGTGGGTTTGTTATTAAATATGTAGATAAACTTTTGTCATGGGGATTTGTTGTACAGATTATTTCATCACCCAGGTGTTAAGCCTAGTACCCATTAATTATTTTCCTGAATCCTTTCCCTCCCCCCATCCTCCACCTTCCAATAGGCCACAGAAATCAAAACAAACAAAAATATTTTGATGAAATAATCTTTACATTTGCAATTGAAGCCAGAGATCCCAAGAAAGGAAATGATTTATAAAAGGTCATGAATTGTGAGAATATTAAAGTTTGGTCTAATGTCTGGTTTTTCTCGTGTGCCCAATTCCTTGCCTATGATTACATACACTCCTGCCAGGGGCTGAGAGTACATCAGCTGGAGCTAAAGGGGAACAGATAGCTGAGGTTGGTCAGTAGCATAGATCTAAACCATGGACAAACCCAGAGCACCAGGATGAGCAGCATGAAATTGCTGAATTAGGCATTAGGGTGCTTGGAATCTTGCATCAGAGAAGGGACGGAGATCATTGTACAAATTCAGACTTATTAGAAAATGTGTCTCCCAAAAAAGCATGTATTAGGAACTTAATCCCAAATGTAACAGTGTTAGGAGGTAAGTCTTAATGGGAGGTGTTTAGGTCATGAGGGCTCCACCCTCAGGAATGGATTTCTGCCAAGCATAAAAGTACTGGAGGTTGCCAGTTTAAGCTCTTGCTCTCATGCAGCAAGAAGGTCCTCACAAGATGTGACCTCTCAACCTTGGACTTCCCAGCCTCCAGAGCCATAAGCCAAATATTTTATTTTTTTGTTTCATAAGTTACCTGATATCTGCTATTCTGGTACAGCAGCACAAAAATGGACTAAGAGAGTGTCTTAGAGGTTGTATGGTGTTTTTCTTTGGCCAGTAAAGCCTTAAGAATAATCTTCATTTGAGATTTCAAAATCAGGTCTTCCAATATAGAATAGTCTCTTATAGCACATAAAATCCTCTCACACAGAATAGTTGCCTTGTTGGTGTTTGACTGGAGTCTCATTTTTGATGATACAGCAATAAATAAAATAAATAAGGTCCTCACTCATCCTCACAAAGTTTATAGTCTAGTGGATCAAGATTATAGCTTGTGAGCTGGAATTGTATTTAAGAGAGAAATATTGGTGACTTGTACTTAAAATATATATATTTGGAGGAAAAGGTCAGGGGAAGTGTGTTTCCAGAGGTATGTGCATGCATCTCTGCTCCTGTGACACTTAGGCACTGCCAAGAACTGGGACTCTAGACATATCAGAGCTTCTTTGCTGGTGAGACCTGAGACATCAAGATGAGGTTTGAGATTCTTGCAGGAAGTTCTTAGGATCCTTTACACATTACAGAGGGTCTGAACTTGGTTACAAGCTGCTGCTCAAAGTGGATGAGTGTCTTTTCCTTGGCTTTCCATGGTTCAAATACTTCTGTCTTACCAATTTCATGAACACACATTTTCTTGATAATATATTGTCTTTATGATCTTTTCAAGTCAAGAATACCCAAGCATTTTGTCATTAAAATATAATTTACCATAGCTCCCAAAGCAAGTTAACAAGTTGTTGAAATGAATCAGAGAACAATGGCTCTTTCTCATTTTAATATATCATTTGTTTATTATACTAACTTACATAATTTGTGTTGTTTTTACTTACATCTTGTTTTACAATTAGGAGACCATGAATGTAGGAAGACCTCTTCTCTGGTTTTGCATCTTTGATTAAATGATTGGATATATTAGGAAAAACATACTAGTTCTCAGTTATTTTAAGTTTCTTATCTGAAAAATGCTGTTAGATTAAATGAACCAAAAGCTAATTTATGTATTAAGGTTATAAGATCAAATGTACGAAAGAAAAATAGCCATGACCATTTTCTAGCAAAAAATTATAGAATTTGTACTATTTCAATTAAAACTTTCAAGGGCTTTATGAAGTGGGTATCATTATTTCCCTTTATAGGATAAGGAATTTGAGGCTATGAGAGGCTATGTATCTTAAACAAGGTCAACAGTTTCCAAGTAGTGTGGATCATCAGTTGGATCCCTTACTGTCTAAGTTAGATCCTAATCACTTTACTACCACACAATCCATAAATATAAGGGTTTACTTAATATATTGATCGACTGTTTTTAACACGAGATGAATAGGTCCCATTAGCCATGGCATATTATCACAAATTTCTCTCAGTTTTTCTGGGACTTAAAGTGGATGCTACCAACATAAATAAATATTTGGAAAAAAAATGGGTGACAGTAAAAAGTGTTGAAGTGATGTCACCTGTTATGACACTCCATGTTCTATACACCTGGCATTTAAACATCTCTCTTTAAAGGAATGAAAAACAGTGTAAAAGAGGAGATTGGTCAGCACATTAGAGATCACGGGAAGACTATTCAGGAGAAAGTCAGTGTTGGTGGAGAGCATTCTCAGCTGCCAGTGGAATGATTACTTATAGTGCAACCTTTCTGAGGTTGTCACTCTGTCATTAAAATCCAAATGTTTAAATCTCTCAAATATACTTTGACACTAATACCATGGATTGTTTCTGAAGAGAGAGAATGATGCTTATTTTTAACCTACAGATATAAAAAATATTTTTTCTTTTATTAATTATGAACATGATTCAATTGCTAGCACCTTCCATTTGTAGCAAATGAGAGTCTTAATTGTGGTGATTTATCTGGTTCAGAAAGCAAATAAGTTGAATATCTATAATACCCAGTGGTATAGAATGGAGGAGGCCTGTTCCACTATTGAATATAGGATATGTATGTGTCTGAGCTGGAGAAAGAAATGACTAGGTTGTAAAGAAGGGTTGAGGTCTCTGATTAGAAGGTTGAGTGAGAGCACCTCCAAGACAGAGATTTTTTCTCCAAATCTGAGACCCTTTAAACTAAGATCTTGCGTTAAACTAAGCAAGGACATAAAAAGGCACAACAGTATTCCGAGAAAAGAGAGAACACAGACTTACAGCGCAGAGGCCTTTTAGGGAAGCAGAGGGGAAGACAGAGTGATTGTGGCTCAGTGTTTTTACTGTTAATCTTTTCTTGAGTTGTAATTTTAAGGGCATTTTAATATATGGAACAGATAATGATATAGCTGTTGTGCGTCAGTTCTGTAACTCTGTTCCTCACTTCCCTTGATATCTGCTGATGGTTCTATGTGGAACTATTTAGACTCTGTAGACCACAATGTAAATATATCTAGGTTAGAAAAATAAGATAACTTTGAATGTTGATTGATGACCTTCTGTGGACAGCTAAGTGGTAGGTTAAGAAAATCCTAGCACACCCTTAAGTATTCACGGTTAAATATCTCTGTAGCCAATAAGGCTGTCATTGATAGAAAAGTACTTCCCAGTATATCTCAAGATGAAATGATAGATTAAAATTCTCTGGTTTCTATAGCTCTCAGCCGCAGAGCTCCTTGATGTACAGAAAGCCAGAGTCAACTACTGAGTTTGAGTTGTGAGAGGCCACCCTACAGATATGGTCATTACCTTCTGCATAAGTGAAATCAAGCTGCAGTTCCTTGGAAATTAAGCAATATTTTTGCACACATCCCCTTCTTTTTTTTAAAAAAAAGACCCAAATATTATCAATGCATTTACCTTTGTTTTTTTCAGTAGGGGAAGTCCATGCCATAGTGACCTTCACTTTGAACAAAGCTGCTCCCTGTTCGCATCAGTTCTATGCTGGTACAGTCTTGTGTGTGGCTACTCTAAAAAGGTCACTCTGTGGGATAGGGTAAACATCAAAGAAAGAAAATCTGCCCCTAAATGTAACCCCCTATGTTGTATCATATTGCATAACAATGTGATATCTGAAAATAATTCCTTCAGTTTATTACATTTATAACACATTGTTCTGCTCTTTCCTTGAGGCAGCAGGAAATTTATATCAGAGTATTTTCTTCCTGCCTTTCCTGAGGAGGAGGGGGCTCTTGCTCTTGTGGTGAAGGTATGAGGACAAATTCTTGAAGAGACTTTGTACTGAAGACTTTAAATTCTTCAAATTTCACCTATAACAAACTTGGGAGAACAAAACAAAGGTGTCAATACAAACTGCATATCAAAAGAAAACACTCTTTCTTCAAAAGTGCTAGTCATTTGAAGAAGAAAAATGAAACTTTGCAACATTAGGACAGCAAATAAAAGCCAAATTCCTTAAAAGTTAATGATGTAGGGTGCAGATAATGAGAAACAGAAATGGAATTCATAGAGACATATTATCTTTTTGACGCATGGCAAAACAATGCATAATCAACATTACTCAACAGTTCCAAGAGTTATTTTTAAACCAAGTGCCTTTAAAACTCAAACCCATTAAACATTCATGATCCCCAAGCCATGTGTTTCCTACAGTTAGAAACATTTATGTCATGTGGGTAAACTGCTTGCTAATAGAAACATTTGCTATTTTGCATTGTAATAAAGACAGTACCATTTTGCATAATATCATTCACCCTTTCATTCTGTAAGCACTAAGTGAGGGCTAGTGACTTGGTGAGCAAGAAAAGCACAGGGCCAATCTAAGAGACTTGTGTCTACCTTGATAAAAAGAAGAAAAAAAAAAAGGCCAGGCACAGTGGCTCATATCTGTAATCCCAGCACTTTGGGAGGCCATGATGGGCAGATCACTTGAGGTCAGGAGTTCGAGACCAGCCTGGCCAACATGGTGAAACCGCATCTCTACTAAAAATACAAAAAATTAGCTGGGTATGGTGGTGCACACCTGTAATCCCAGCTACTTGGGAGGCTGAGGCACAAGAATGACTTGAATCTGGGAGGCTGAGGCTGCAGTGAGCCGAGATCATGCCACTGCATTCCAGCCCAGCCTGGGCAATAGAGTGGGACTCTGTCTCAAAAAAAAAAAAAGAAAAGAAAGAAAAGAAAAGGAAAACACTCCATGCTATGTGAGATTGGAAACTATTCAAGATTGAGGAAAATGCAGCAATTCCTAACTAAATTTTATAGAAAAAGAAATAATACTTTAGAGGTGAAAGGTGTTGTTCATTTTCTCATAGTTGGTAAGCAGCAAAGTCCAATCCATGTGTTGAGTTGGCTCGTGCTCTTTCTACTGCATCTTATTTTATTTGCCACCTGAGAGCAGAGAGTAGAATTCGAAGTTTGATGTTACACTCCTGACAAAATTTATGTGTATTTAACATCCTTCCCCTTTTGTGTAAGCCACCTCAACACATAAAGTTAACATGGAAAATATTGGCAATATTGTTTTTCACGTAAAAATAAGCACTCAACACAGTTTCAACATCTCCAGGGTGTGAGCAGGACAATTTTTTAAATTAAATAAATCTATAAGTAAAAATATGGGCTGGGTGTGGTGGCTCACACCTGTAATCCCAGCACTTTGGGAGGCCAAGGAGGGTGGTTCACCTGAGGTCAGGAGTTCAAGACCATCTTGGCCAACATGAAGAAACCCCATCTCTACTAAAAATACAAAAAATAGCTGCGCGTGGTGGCACATGCCTGTAATCCCAGCCAGTCAGGAGGCTGAGGCAGGAGAATCACTTGAACCCGGGAGGCAGAGGTTGTAGTGAGCTGAGATCACACCATTGCACTCCAGCCAGGGCAACAAGAGTGAAACTCCATTTCAGAAAAAAAAAAAAAAAAAAAAAAAAAATATATATATATATATATATATATATATATATAACCTTAATTCATATTTAATTTATTTTGCTAATGTGTACATAAGAAATTAGCAGTTTTATGGAAAAAATGAATGCTATATATTTAAAAAAGAAAGAGAAGAAACAAATGAATAAGTAAATTAATTAATTGCACCTCAGTGGGGTTATTTTTGCTTTAATCTTTAATGTGAAGATTAAATGAAATATATATGTAAAAATACATTTTAAATTATAAAATGAAAGATAATATTTCTGTAACCGGGGGTCCTTGCTCCCAGAGCTCCCAAGATGGTGGTTGGCTACTTCCAAAATGGCAGCAGGTCACTTCCAAGATGGTGGCAAGCCTCCTGTTCTCTGACCTGGGGTTCTTGGCCTCACGGATTCCAACGAATGGAATCTTGGGCCATGCAGTGAGTGTTATAGCTCTATTAGAAGTCGTGGGTCACAGAAGAGAACCCTGGAACCCAGTGACTAGGGTTCAGCTCGATTAGGACGAACCCAGGCATTTAGCCATGCAGAAACAATGGCAAGCCTTTAGCCCCATCAGGAGTGGCAACGGGCGCCTCACTGGATCAAGAGCACAGCAGACACCCTGCTGGATCCGGAGGGATGGGAGTCAGCAGCAGGTCTGCGATGGTGGCAAACAGCAGTGGTGGACAGTGACCGAAAGCTCAGTTCCAGCCGTAACAAACATGGACCAGAAGGTGCAGTTGCAAGATTTAATAGAGTGAAATAGAGTGAAAACAGAGCCCCCATACAAAGGGAGGGGACCCAAAGGGGGTTGCCGTTGCCTGCTCGAATGCCTGGGTTTATATCCCGATCCTTATCCCTCCAGCTCTGCTCTCAGGCAATAGATGATTGGCTATTTCTTTACCTCCTGTTTTTGCTTAATTACCATTTTAGTGAGCTCTCTGATTGGTTGGGTGTGAACTAAGTTGCAAGCTCCCTGTTTAAAGGTGGATGCGGTCACCTTCTCAGCTAGGCTTAGGGATTCTTAGTCGGCCTAGGAAATCCAGCTAGTCCTGTCTCTCATTTCTATCAATTTCCAGCAACATTATATAGAAGCATAAATAGACTACTGTAATAACCTAAATAGGTCTCCCTTACCCAACCTCTCTTCTTACCCCTTCAGTCTGTCCTGTAATTGACAGAGTAACATTTCAGCAATGCCTTCTTATTCATTAACCCTATCTAACACTCTTCCTGCAGTATTAAGTTAAAACTCCTCTTCTTTGCACATAAAACTATTCCTTATCTGGCAGCTTATCTTGTCATTCTCCTCTTTCTTCTCTCCTTGGCTCTCAACCCACAACACTCAGTTCTCCTAACATATGCCTAAGCATGTTGTTTTGCCCCTTTACACATTTTCATATAAGATGTCCCTTGAATTGCTAAGTCATACTGTGGGCCTGTGGAATACATTTTTCAACCTAATTAAATATATATAAAAATATATATTTATATATAAAAATATATTTATATATATAAATATATATATTTATAATATTTATATATTTAAATTCACATATATATAAATTCATAAATAAATATATGAATGTATATTTAATTATATATAAATATATGAATATATAATTATATATAAATATATATATTTAATTTTTAAAATTTTAAATTTTTAAATTTAATTTTAATTTAAATTTTACCTTAAGTTCTGGGATACGTGTGCTGATCGTGCAGGTTTGTTACATAGGTATACATGTGCCATGGTGGTTTGCTGCACCTATCAAACCGTCATCTAGGTTTTAAGCCCCACATGCATTAGGTATTCGTCCTATTGCTCTCCCTCCCCTTTCACCCCACCCCCAACAGGCCCTGGTGTGTGATGTTCCCCTCCCTGTGTCCATGTGTTCTCATTGTTCAACTCCCAGTTATGAGTGCGAACATGCGATGTTTGGTTTTCTGTTCCTGTGTTAGTTTGCTGAGGATGATAGTTTCCGGCTTCATCCATGTCCCTGCAAAGGACATGAACTCATTCTTTTTTATGGCTGCATAGTATTTCATGATGTATATGTGTCACATTTTCATTATCCAGTCTATCATTGATGGGCATTTGTTTATTGCAGCACTATTTACAATAGCAACCTAATTACATGTTTTAACTCATTTTTCAGGTAACATTTTAGTTTTCCCTGAATATTACAACTAGAAATGTCATCCCTTTCTCAACGTTGCAATAATTGGTGATTGTATCATTTATTTCTTTGTTTTGTAAAACAAAACTTATGAGAAGCCACCATTTTGGACTGAGCTCCTGCACGAGGCCTCAACAGATCACACAAAACCAAAATGGAGTCACTCATGCTAAATGCTACATAAACAAACTTATACTTTAATGAAACAGGTAGATCCTCAACAGACCAGTTGTTCCTGAAAACAGGAGATTACACTCTCCCTGAGTCACATTAACAAGGAAGTCCCCTCTGCTTTAATCCTTTCAAAAAAGTAACCTGATGTTAACCAGTCAGCTTTTTTTTCTATTGGTCTGTTTCCTTGCTCCCACCTTACAAAGCCCACTGTTCTGCCATTGCCCGGTGGGAGTGCTCACTGTATGTTGTAGAATGGAAATTACTTTGATTTATGGATCACAAACACATGCCAATGACACCTATAACTAAACTTGCTTTAATATTTTGTTTGACAGTATTTATCATACTGATGGCAGATAATATACCCATATTTGTGATCCTAGCATTTAACACCAAGAGAAGTTCTTGGAACGTTTTATCATTATCATAGATATTTGTTTTGATTTTAGTTTGAATTTTCGTTTATTTCTTCTTCTTGCCTCAGTTACTTGCAATGGTCTCTAGTATACTGTCCAATGCAAGTAGTGAGAATAGCCATCCTTGTTTGTTTATAATCTTAGGTAGAACAAATAGAGGCATCTTCCATTGATTGTAATGTTAGCTATAGATTTTTTGTAGACATCTTTTAATCAGGTTGAAGAAATTTCCTTGTATTCCTAGTTTCCTGAGAGCTCTTATTGAAGACATGTTGAATTTTGTCGATTATTTTTCTACATCTATTGAAAAACATTGTTTTTTCTTTTCTTTTATTATTATGGTGATTACACTGATAGATATTTTATATTAAATTAATCTTGTATTCCAAGAATAAAACACACTTGGAATAAAGCATTATCTATCCTATATATTGTTGTAGTTGTATGCTAACATATTGCTAAGAATTTTTGCATCTATATTTAAGAGGAATTATTGTTTTATAGTTCTTTCTTATATTGTCTTTGTTTTTATCATAGTAATATTGTTCTCACAAAGTAAAGTAGAATACATTTCTTCCTCAATTTTCCAAAGATGTTTAGTTAGAATAGGTGTGATTTTTTACTTAAATGCTGAACAAAATTTACCTGGGAAGTGACCCAGTACTTGGAATTTTGTTACGGGTTGTTTTATAATTAAGTCAAATTCTTTAATTGATAGAGGGCTGTTCAAGTTTCTAATTCTTATTTGGTTAATTTTAGCAATTTGTGCCTATCAAGGAAATTTTTGTATTTTCCCAAGATTGCCATATTTATTGTAAAGTAGTTGTTCCTAATGTTCATTATTATTTAATGACAGTAGTCTCTGAAACATGCCATCTTTCTTGTTTTTGTCTTTTTTTTCTTTCTTTGTAAGACTACCAATTTTATTGATATTTTTATACAATCCATTAGGAACTAGCTTTTGTTTTTATTTCCTCTATTGTTTTCCCTTTCTGTTGTCTTTGAGTTTCTCTTTTTTCTTCTCTTCTCCATTTTATTAATTCTGTTTGATTTTTATTTTCTTCCCTTTCCTTGATTTAGGTTTAATTTTCTAATTTTCAAAATTTTAAGGGAAATTTGAGATTTATGTTATTTTCTAATATAAACATCTAAGTTATAAAGCTCTCTAAGCAGTACTTAATGATGAAACCATTCTGTATTGGTTCCATGTTGACAAATCTATGCATTAGTCAAAATAAATTGTACTGTACACCACAAAGAGTACCTTTTACTGTATGTAAATTAACAGATAATTCAAGTTGTTAGGGAATAAAGATTGTTGCAAAAATGGATCAATGTGTATTATAAATAAAATGGCGTAGCCACTGTGAAAGGCATGGGGAAGAAGGAAGGCAGATGACCTAGGTAACTTTGGAAAACCGGTTTTGACTAGACACTATAGTGATAATATACATTCTAGTAAGTAAACTTGTTTTTCATAGAAGTATGAGTTAGAATGTCTGCAACTATGTTACATGTATACTTATATTACTGTTGAATAAATGAGTGAATCCATTATACATAAGAAAACCACCTGGTTTTTCATGTTGGAGAAAGATGTTACAAATATGAAAATGGAGAATGCTGAATATATCTGGTGATGCCAAATTGGTGCATGAGTTATCATCATGAACTCATGGATTTTTTTTTTTTAGTGTGGATTAAAATGTTTAATACTGTATCCTAGGGCCGGGCGCGGTGGCTCACGTCTGTAATCCCAGCACTTTGGGAGGCCGAGGCGGTCGGATCACGAGGTCAGGAGATTGAGACCATCCTGGCTAACACGGTGAAACTCCATCTCTACTAAAAAATACAAAAAATTAGCTGGGCATGGTGGCGGGCGCCTGTAGTCCCAGCTATTCAGGAGGCTGAGGCAGGAGAATGGCGTGAACCCGGGAGGCGGAGCTTGCAGTGAGCCGAGATCGCGCCACGGCACTCCAGCCTGGGTGACAGAGCGAGACTCCGTCTCAAAAAAAAAAAAAAAAAAAAAAAAATACCGTATCTTGGGTAGGAAAATTACAAGATAATCTTGAGGAATCGTGGTACTGGAAAGTAAGAAAAATACCAAAAAACAAAACAAACAAACAAAAACAAAAAAGGGAAATGAGGAGGATGAAGACATGCGGACATATCAAAAGCCAATTTGAAAGAACTCTCAATGGCTACACACAACTGGAACAATTTAAGCAGAGAAAGTAAACTCTAATACTATTGTAATATAGCCCAAAACATAGATACCCATTACTGCTGAGCGATATAAACAAATGACGAAGTAAATAAACAAGATAATAGGGAAATTTTATTTTCCTTTTGGAAGAATTGCAATGAACAAATGTAGAAGGAGTGAAAGAAATAAAAAATCACCACAGTAATAATTACTGCAGGAAAACCCACTGATGGATTTTAACTATATTCTTGATGTTGTCCGCACGCATTTCGTGTTTGTGATTCACTGAGTATTTTGGATCTGTTGGTAGACAGCTTTCAGAGCATTTGAAGAAGTTTTTGGCCATTATTTCTTCAAACATTTCTCTTGTTCCCCATTTTCCCCTCATCTTTGTTGAAAACATCAGTTGTATGTATGCTAGAGAATTTGACGTTCCACAACTCTGTGATAAATTTTAATTATTTTATAAAAATTATCATTAATTTTTCTTTGTGTCTCTTTTACATAGTTTCTTTTTCTATGTCTTCAAATGTATTATCTTTTCTGCAACACATGATCTGCTTTCATTCTCCTCTAGTGTATATGTGACCTCATATATTGTAATTTTCATTTCCAGAAGTTGTTGAGGTCTTTTTATATCTTCCATGTCTCTTCTTAACCTCTTGCACATGTATAATACAGTTATAATTGTTTAAATATCTTTGCCAGATAAATGCAACAGTGTGGCAGTTCACAATTTTGATTGATTGATTTTTCTCTTCATTCTGGGTTATATTTCTATCTTTCTTTGCATCCCCAATCATCATTCATTGGATACTAAACATTGTGTTTTTTTGTTTTGTTTTGTTTTGTTTTTTGTTTTGTTTTTTTGGATGAAGTATCGCTTTTGTCCCGCAGGTTGGAGTGTGACGGTATGATCTCGGCTCACTGCAACCTCCTCCTAGCAGGTTCAAGTGATTCTCCTGCCTCAGCCTCCCGAGTAGCTGGGATTACAGGCGCCTGCCACCACGCCTGGTTAATTTTTGTATTTTTAGTAGAGACAGGGTTTCACGATGTTGGCCAGACTGGTCTTGAATGCCTGACCTCTGGTGATGTGCCCGCCTAGGCCTCCCAAAGTGCTGGGATTACAGGCATGAACCACTGTCCTTGGCCAACATTGCGTTCTTAATCTAATTAAATGATGAATATTTTTGTATTCCCACAGATATTCCTGATCTTTGTTTCCAAATGTAGTTAAGGTTCTTGGAAATACTTTGTCCTCTAAAGGCTTGCTTTTAATATTAGATAGGGTCAGAAGCTTCTTTAGTCTTGGGCTATCTATTCTCTATTTCCATGGCAAAACTCTTCTAAGTACCCTACTCCATGAATTATGCCCCTCGAATCATATATTTTTCCAATTTGGATAGTGGGAACTGGCACTATTCTCGAAGAGCAAATATTCTTCACATTCTAGTTTCCTCCAATTCATGCATTGCTCATTACTCTGCTGAATATTTAAGGTGTATCTGCTGATGATTTTCCTAGGTTTTTTTCTTTGCATTTCCCTTCTCCCAGGTAATCTGTCTTGCCAGCTGTAGCCGCTTTGGTCTCCCCAGACTCCCATATCTGTCTCTGTAAGTCAAGATGTTGGCTATTCCTGACCTATATTTCCCCTTTTGCACTGTGGACTGAAAGCTCCCTGTTGCAATTATAAGGCTCGTCTAATTTATTTTCTATTTCTCAGGGGTCACTGTCTTTTCTTGCCTGAAGTCCAGTGTCTTGAAAAATGTTGTTTCAGCTTTTTTGTTTTAATTTTTTTTTTTTAAGGGACAAGGTCTTCCTCTGTCACTCAGGCTGGTCTCAAACTTCTGGTCTCAAACTACGGGCCTCAAGTGATCCTCCAACTTCAGCTTCCTGAGTAGCTAGGATTACTGGCAACAGCCAGCACACTTGGCCATGTTTCATCTTTTGAACTTTGTGTTTTTTCACGGTTGTTTCAGGTAGCCAGCTAAATATTATCACTTTATTCCATCTTTGTTGGAAGCAGAAGTCTTATTTTAAAACAAAAATTTTAAACTTTACAATGCATTGACCAAAACCATTTTCAATATTATTATTTATTCCAAAGAGTGTGTTGTAGAAAACATAATAAGCTGTAATGCCTAATGGGAAATAAATAAGAATGCTAGCAGTACCTTTTTAAAATACACACACTTCGGCTGAAATATTTAGTTAACCTGTGTTTGTAAATAGCAAGGTGTAAAGGGTATTGAATTCTCTTTGTCCTTAATCAGTTACTTTAATTCAGTATCAAAGTAGCTTTTTTTCCTGAGGCAATATGAATTGTTTTCATGATATATTTTTTTATTCTGCTGTCTATTTAGCTCAATGGTGGCATAGTGTAAAGGAAAAGGAAAAGTCAGCAAGGTTTATTTCAGAATTTTCTTGAGAGTTGAGTTTGACACAAATAGCAAAAGCATTCTTCTTATCTTCCTCTAGATCCCAACCAAAAGAGGTTTCTGTAGCCCTCATCATGTGAGCCAAAATCCTATGATTAAACCAAAAGTTTTTCTAAAAGTCCTACCAGTAGCCATAAAAGAGCTCTCTTTTCCTATGAGTTCCTCTTTAATTTATTTATTTATTTATTTTTTTTTTTTTAATTTCTTTTTTTTTTTATTATACTTTAAGTTTTAGGGTACATGTGCACATTGTGCAGGTTAGTTACATATGTATACATGTGCCGTGCTGGTGCGCTGCACCCACTAACTCGTCATCTAGCATTAGGTATATCTGCCAATGCTATCCCTCCCCCCTCCCCCCACCCCACAACAGTCCCCAGAGTGTGATATTCCCCTTCCTGTGTCCATGTGATCTCATTGTTCAATTCCCACCTATGAGTGAGAATATGCGGTGTTTGGTTTTTTGTTCTTGCGATAGTTTACTGAGAATGATGATTTCCAATTTCATCCATGTCCCTACAAAGGACGTGAACTCATCATTTTTTATGGCTGCATAGTATTCCATGGTGTATATGTGCCACATTTTCTTAATCCAGTCTATCATTGTTGGACATTTGGGGTGGTTCCAAGTCTTTGCTATTGTGAATAATGCCGCAATAAACATACGTGTGCATGTGTCTTTATAGCAGCATGATTTATAGTCATTTGGGTATATACCCAGTAATGGGATGGCTGGGTCAAATGGTATTTCTAGTTCTAGATCCCTGAGGAATCGCCACACTGACTTCCACAATGGTTGAACTAGTTTACAGTCCCACCAACAGTGTAAAATGTTCCTGTTTCTCCACATCCTCTCCAGCACCTGTTGTTTCCTGACTTTTTAATGATTGCCATTCTAACTGGTGTGAGATGGTATCTCATAGTGGTTTTGATTTGCATTTCTCTGATGGCCAGTGATGATGAGCATTTTTTCATGTGTTTTTTGGCTGCATAAATGTCTTCTTTTGAGAAGTGTCTGTTCATGTCCTTCGCCCACTTTTTGATGGGGTTGTTTGTTTTTTTCTTGTAAATTTGTTTGAGTTCATTGTAGATTCTGGATATTAGCCCTTTGTCAGATGAGTAGGTTGCGAAAATTTTCTCCCATTTTGTAGGTTGCCTGTTCACTCTGATGGTAGTTTCTTTTGCTGTGCAGAAGCTCTTTATTTTAATTAGATCCCATTTGTCAATTTTTTCTTTTGTTGCCATTGCTTTTGGTGTTTTGGACATGAAGTCCTTGCCCATGCCTATGTCCTGAATGGTAATGCCTAGGTTTTCTTCTAGGGTTTTTATGGTTTTAGGTCTAACGTTTAAATCTTTAATCCATCTTGAATTGATTTTTGTATAAGGTGTAAGGAAGGGATCCAGTTTCAGCTTTCTACATATGGCTAGCCAGTTTTCCCAGCACCATTTATTAAATAGGGAATCCTTTCCCCATTGCTTGTTTTTCTCAGGTCTGTCAAAGATCAGATAGTTGTAGATATGCGGCGTTATTTCTGAGGGCTCTGTTCTGTTCCATTGATCTATATCTCTGTTTTGGTACCAGTACCATGCTGTTTTGGTTACTGTAGCCTTGTAGTATAGTTTGAAGTCAGGTAGTGTGATGCCTCCAGCTTTGTTCTTTTGGCTTAGGATTGACTTGGCGATGCGGGCTCTTTTTTGGTTCCATATGAACTTTAAAGTAGTTTTTTCCAATTCTGTGAAGAAAGTCATTGGTAGCTTGATGGGGATGGCATTGAATCTAGAAATTACCTTGGGCAGTATGGCCATTTTCACAATATTGATTCTTCCTACCCATGAGCATGGAATGTTCTTCCATTTGTTTGTATCCTCTTTTATTTCTTTGAGCAGTGGTTTGTAGTTCTCCTTGAAGAGGTCCTTCACATCCCTTGTAAGTTGGATTCCTAGGTATTTTATTCTCTTTGAAGCAATTGTGAATGGGAGTTCACTCATGATTTGGCTCTCTGTTTGTGTGTTGTTGGTGCATAAGAATGCTTGTGATTTTTGCACATTGATTTTGTATCCTGAGACTTTGCTGAAGTTGCTTATCAGCTTAAGGAGATTTTGGGCTGAGACAATGGGGTTTTCTAGATATACAATCATGTCGTCTGCAAACAGGGACAATTTGACTTCCTCTTTTCCTAATTGAATACCCTTTATTTCCTTCTCCTGCCTGATTGCCCTGGCCAGAACTTCCAACACTATGTTGAATAGGAGTGGTGAGAGAGGGCATCCCTGTCTTGTGCCAGTTTTCAAAGGGAATGCTTCCAGTTTTTGCCCATTCAGTATGATATTGGCTGTGGGTTTGTCATAGATAGCTCTTATCATTTTGAAATACGTCCCATCAATACCTAATTTATTGAGAGTTTTTAGCATGAAGGGTTGTTGAATTTTGTCAAAGGCCTTTTCTGCATCTATTGAGATAATCATGTGGTTTTTGTCTTTGGCTCTGTTTATATGCTGGATTACATTTATTGATTTGCGTATATTGAACCAGCCTTGCATCCGAGGGATGAAGCCCACTTGATCATGGTGGATAAGCTTTTTGATGTGCTGCTGGATTCGGTTTGCCAGTATTTTATTGAGGAGTTTTGCATCAATGTTCATCAAGGATATTGGTCTAAAATTCTCTTTTTTGGTTGTGTCTCTGCCCGGCTTTGGTATCAGAATGATGCTGGCCTCATTAAAATGAGTTAGGGAGGATTCCCTCTTTTTCTATTGATTGGAATAGTTTCAGAAGGAATGGTACCAGTTCCTCCTGGTACCTCTGGTAGAATTCGGCTGTGAATCCATCTGGTCCTGGACTCTTTTTGGTTGGTAAACTATTGATTATTGCCACAATTTCAGCTCCTGTTATTGGTCTATTCAGAGATGCAACTTCTTCCTGGTTTAGTCTTGGGAGAGTGTATGTGTCGAGGAATTTATCCATTTCTTCTAGATTTTCCAGTTTATTTGCGTAGAGGTGTTTGTAGTATTCTCTGATGGTAGTTTGTATTTCTGTGGGATCGGTGGTGATATCCCCTTTATCATTTTTTATTGTGTCTATTTGATTCTTCTCTCTTTTTTTCTTTATTAGTCTTGCTAGCGGTCTATCAATTTTGTTGATCCTTTCAAAAAACCAGCTCCTGGATTCATTGATTTTTTGAATGGTTTTTTTGTTTCTCTATTTCCTTCAGTTCTGCTCTGATTTTAGTGATTTCTTGCCTTCTGCTAGCTTTTGAATGTGTTTGCTCTTGCTTTTCTAGTTCTTTTAATTGTGATGTTAGGGTGTCAATTTTGGATCTTTCCTGCTTTCTCTTGTGGGCATTTAGTGCTATAAATTTCCCTCTACACACTGCTTTGAATGCGTCCCAGAGATTCTGGTATGTCGTGTCTTTGTTCTCGTTGGTTTCAAAGAACATCTTTATTTCTGCCTTCATTTCGTTATGTACCCAGTAGTCATTCAGGAGCAGGTTGTTCAGTTTCCATGTAGTTGAGCGGCTTTGAGTGAGATTCTTAATCCTGAGTTCTAGTTTGATTGCACTGTGGTCTGAGAGATAGTTTGTTATAATTTCTGTTCTTTTACATTTGCTGAGGAGAGCTTTACTTCCAACTATGTGGTCAATTTTGGAACAGGTGTGGTGTGGTGCTGAAAAAAATGTATATTCTGTTGATTTGGGGTGGAGAGTTCTGTAGATGTCTATTAGGTCCGATTGGTGCAGAGCTGAGTTCAATTCCTGGGTATCCTTGTTGACTTTCTGTCTCGTTGATCTGTCTAATGTTGACAGTGGGGTGTTAAAGTCTCCCATTATTAATGTGTGGGAGTCTAAGTCTCTTTGTAGGTCACACAGGACTTGCTTTATGAATCTGGGTGCTCCTGTATTGGGTGCATATATATTTAGGATAGTTAGCTCTTCTTGTTGAATTGATCCCTTTACCATTATGTAATGGCCTTCTTTGTCTCTTTTGATCTTTGTTGGTTTAAAGTCTGTTTTATCAGAGACTAGGATTGCAACCCCTGCCTTTTTTTGTTTTCCATTTGCTTGGTAGATCTTCCTCCATCCTTTTATTTTGAGCCTATGTGTGTCTCTGCACGTGAGATGGGTTTCCTGAATATAGCACACTGATGGGTCTTGACTCTTTATCCAATTTGCCAGTCTATGTCTTTTAATTGGAGCATTTAGTCCATTTACATTTAAAGTTAATATTGTTATGTGTGAATTTGATCCTGTCATTATGATGTTAGCTGGTGATTTTGCTCGTTAGTTGACGCAGTTTCTTCCTAGTCTCGATGGTCTTTACATTTTGGCATGATTTTGCAGCAGCTGGTACCGGTTGTTCCTTTCCATGTTTAGCGCTTCCTTCAGGAGCTCTTTTAGGGCAGGCCTGGTGGTGACAAAATCTCTCAGCATTTGCTTGTCTGTAAAGTATTTAATTTCTCCTTCACTTATGAAGCTTAGTTTGGCTGGATATGAAATTCTGGGTTGAAAATTCTTTTCTTTAAGAATGTTGAATATTGGCCCCCACTCTCTTCTGGCTTGTAGGGTTTCTGCCGAGAGATCCGCTGTTAGTCTGATGGGCTTCCCTTTGAGGGTAACCCAACCTTTCTCTCTGGCTGCCCTTAAGATTTTTTCCTTCATTTCAACTTTGGTGAATCTGACAATTATGTGTCTTGGAGTTGCTCTTCTCGAGGAGTATCTTTGTGGCGTTCTCTATATTTCCTGAATGTGAACGTTGGCCTGCCTTGCTAGATTGGGGAAGTTCTCCTGGATAATATCCTGCAGAGTGTTTTCCAACTTGGTTCCATTCTCCCCATCACTTTCAGGTACACCAATCAGACGTAGATTTGGTCTTTTCACATAGTCCCATATTTCTTGGAGGCTTTGCTCATTTCTTTTTATTCTTTTTTCTCTAAACTTCCCTTCTCGCTTCATTTCATTCATTTCATCTTCCATTGCTGATACCCTTTCTTCCAGTTGGTCGCATCGGCTCCTGAGGCTTCTGCATTCTTCACGTAGTTCTCGAGCCTTGGTTTTCAGCTCCATCAGCTCCTTTAAGCACTTCTCTGTATTGGTTATTCTAGTTATACATTCTTCTAAATTTTTTTCAAAGTTTTCAACTTCTTTGCCTTTGGTTTGAATGTCCTCCCGTAGCTCGGAGTAATTTGATCGTCTGAAGCCTTCTTCTCTCAGCTCGTCAAAGTCATTCTCCATCCAGCTTTGTTCTGTTGCTGGTGAGGAACTGCGTTCCTTTGGAGGAGGAGAGCTGCTCTGCTTTTTAGAGTTTCCAGTTTTTCTTTTCTGTTTTTTCCCCATCTTTGTGGTTTTATCTACTTTGGTCTTTGATGATGGTGATGTACAGATGGGTTTTTGGTGTGGATGTCCTTTCTGTTTGTTAGTTTTCCTTCTAACAGACAGGACCCTCAGCTGCAGGTCTGTTGGAGTACCCTGCCGTGTGAGGTGTCAGTGTGCCCCTATTAGGGGGTGCCTCCCAGTTAGGCTGTTCAGGGGTCAGGGACCCACTTGAGGAGGCAGTCTGCCCGTTCTCAGATCTCCAGCTGCGTGCTGGGAGAACCACTGCTCTCTTCAAAGCTGTCAGACAGGGACATTTAAGTCTGCAGAGGTTACTGCTGTCTTTTTGTTTGTCTGTGCCCTGCCCCCAGAGGTGGAGCCTACAGAGGCAGGCAGGCAGGCCTCCTTGAGCTGTGGTGGGCTCCGCCCAGTTCGAGCTTCCCAGATGCTTTGTTTACCTAATCAAGCCTGGACAATGTCGGGCACCCCTCCCCTAGCCTCGCTGCCGCCTTGCAGTTTGATCTCAGACTGCTGTGCTAGCAATCAGCGAGACTCCGTGGGCGTAGGACCCTCCAAGCCAGGTGCGGGATATAATCCTGTGGTGCGCCATTTTTTAAGCCCGTCGGAAAAGCGCAGTATTCGGGTGGGAGTGACCCGATTTTCCAGGTGCTGTCTGTCACCCCTTTCTTTGACTCGGAAAGGGAACTCCCTGACCCCTTGCGCTTCCCAAGTGAGGCAATGCCTCGCCCTGCTTCGGCTCACGCACGGTGCGCGCACTCACTGACCTGCGCCCACTGTCTGGCACTCCCTAGTGAGATGAACCCGGTACCTCAGATGGAAATGCAGAAATAACCGTCTTCTGCGTAGCTCACGCTGGGAGCTGTAGACCGGAGCTGTTCCTATTCGGCCATCTTGGCTCCTCCCTCTTTAATTTATTTATGCTGTTCAGTACTCAGCTAGACAGAGGGCAATTCTAGATAAGTTCTAGGTAAAAGATCAATGACTGTAGTAAAACTTACCTCTACCTCTGTCTTCTAAAGTCTCTCCATTGAAACTAAACCAATAAACGCTGAGTACTATTTTTCCAGCTTATATTGTGCTCATGTATTCTCTAGAAGGGGAAAGTTTTCTCTATTGATCCCTATACTGGTATATGAAAGGCTCATTTTTTTTTGTTTATTTTTTGGTTTTGATGGGGCTATCATGGATTCTCTCACAATTTCAACAGAAAATTATCTACTAGGGGGAAGGGCTGGGATGGGAGTTTATATGGTATATAAGTAAAGTAAAAAATAAAGGGATCAGTATATTCACACAATATTGAAAACTGATCCTGAATTTAACTGTGACCTAGTAAAAGACTAACTTTATTAGCAACACTTACAGCTTTGCAGATAATAGACCATCAGTAAGCATTATTTTGAGTCTGTGTTTAGGACATCCCAGAGCTTGCTCATCTCTTACTTATCTCCCCTATAAAAGTCTGTACCATGATAATTTTCCAGTATCAATATGCCTAGCATTCTTGGCACTGTCTTGATAATTTATACTAATAATCTTCCTTATTTTACCCAGAAATATCATGCCTATATTTCAGTGTGCTGATCTTCTAGATAATTCTGATCACTCTACATAATCTGAGTAAGGTTTGTCCTTCCCTCATTTCACATATGATTTTACTGTGATTTATTTTTGACACTGTTTATCCACATTTTCTTTAACATAGCCGTGTTGAAAATCTCTCATATAAAATAACATCCCTGAAACCCTACAGAAACAAAAAAAAATCTATTTTAACATACTATTATTTTTCCTTCTTTCCTCATTTTTCTTGTAACTAATAGAACTCAACTTTTGTTGGGATGCCAATGTCCTTTATCTAAAGTACTTACCTTCTAGGATGCTTTTATAGGCAGGGGTGTCCATTAGACCAAATGCTGGTCAATGGTATTTGTATGGAATTATATTGGGTGGTGCTTTTGGGAAGATACTTTTCTCCTGATGTAAAGAGCCAGACTCAGCTGTCATGTACATTTTATCCTTTGCTCTTACCCTGTGTTCCTGCCTGAAGTCCAGGTTCAATAACTGAAAGTATGAGTGGCCACCTTGAAACTGTAAGTGAAGCAGGCTAAGAATGACTGTGAGAAAATTAGAACCACTGCACCAGCACTCAATTGCTTACTTCCACGATCCTTATTTCACTGAAAAAAATGTGTATTACTCTTGAGGGTTTGTATATGTAGCTAAAGGTACTGATAAATTATATACCAATGTGTGTGTGTGTGTGTGTGTGTGTGTGTGTGTGTGTGTGGTAGAGAGGTGGAGGTATTGTCCAGATTTATATCATTATATCATTTTACAACAAATATATTCTGTTAATGCTATGTAGTTACTAGTAAGAGATAGAAAGTCCACCCTAACATATGTGGTATTAATAAGCAAAAATGTAGTTTTAATTCTAAAGAGAACATAACATATTTTAATACCCTTAAATTTCACACAGTTGGCCAGGCGTGGTGGCTCACGCCTGTAATCCCAGCACTTTGGGAGGCTGAGGTGGGCATATCACAAGGTCAGGAGTTCGAGACTAGCCTGATCAATATGGTGAAACCCCATCTCGACTAAAAATACAAAAATTAGCCAGGCGTGGTGGCACACGCCTATAGTCCCAGCTACTCAGGAGGCTGAGGCAGGAGAATCGCTTCAACCCCGGAGGTGGAGGTTGCAGTCAGCCGAGATTGTGCCACTGCACTCTAGCCTGAGCAACAGAGTGAGACTCCAAATTGAAAAAAAAGAAAAGAAAAGAAAAAAAGGCCGCGTGTGGTGGCTCATGCCTGTAACCCCAACACTTTGGGAACTGGTGTGCCTGTAGTCTCAGCTACTCGGGAGGCTGAGGCAGGAGAATCACTTGAAATCGGGAGGCGGAAGTTGCAGTGAGCCGAGATAGTGCCACTCCACTCCAGCCTGGCGACAGAGTGAGACTTTGTCTCAAACGAAAGAAAGAAAGAAAGAAAAACTCACACAGTTTTCTTATTTACCTATCATCTGAATAAAAGAACACTTTACACAACCATTTTTGCTGTTTAAAAGTTTTAAATTGTTTTACTGTTTAGAAAGTTCAAATGCACATCCTCAAGATATAATTATCACATTTTCTGTTTGAGGCAATTTCTTTAATTCTTTAATAAATGTGAATTTATCATATTAAATTGGTCATAAATAATAAATGAGCCAAAATTTATGCTTTAAAGCTGATAAGATATGTGAGCCACTTCATTTGATGTGTATTTTGGATCCCCATTGTCTTTACTGACCTGATGATTTGACTCTAGGATGCTTCATAAAACTTCAGACAACCCTTAATTTTAAAAGAGATAGACAAATGCACTATTTTAAGTGGCTTTTGACATAATTCAATAATGTTAATGAAGACTAGGTTTAGGCTATGAAAACTTACTCACCTTATTATTGAAACTATCCTGAATGCACTAAAATAAAAAGTGTATACCTATAGGAGAAAGAGGTAGAAGGAAGGAAGGAATGGGAGGGGGGCGGGGAGGGACAGAGGGAGGGAGGGAGGGAGGGGAGGGGAGGGGAGGGGAGTTAGTTGAGCTTTTGACTAAGTCTAAGATGTAGAATTATGCTACTTAAGGTTTGCCGAAAGGATACTGTATGTTGGTTTAGAGGTAAGACTGAACTACTAATGAAAATACAACAAAAATATTTGCAAATATTTATTAAGCCTCTTAGGTATGGATTACATTATAGAAGTTACTTTATTCAGACTGAACAGGATGTTTGATTATGGCATTTGCATTGCTTTCCTGTTATTCTTCTAAGTATCTTGAAGGTAGTTTTTTCATTTTTGTTGATCCACTAATCATCATGCCTAAAGCTCTGTTTACCCATGTATTTGCCAATCTGCTGTATTCACAAACCAGATAAATGCAAACTACTATTTTCCCTTATCAAAAATTGCATCAATTATTAATATATGCTGATGTTTACAGACTATATAATGAAATGCCTTCCATAAAGGCATAATATATGTCACAGTCAATATATGTCACAGTCAAATTGGCACATACACTTCACAGGGAAGAACTTTTAACAATTATATCAGTCTAACCTAAAAGATAGTGTTTTTTGTTTTTCTTCCAAATTATGACCTCTCTGCTTTGATCTGGGAGAAAGGGCTATCATAGTAAAGGTAAATCTGTGCAAAAAGGAAATTGAGTTAGAATACCAATCAATACAATCCCAACACTAAGATTCCATGTTTCTACATCCATTTTGACTTGTCAAACACCAAAAGATAAAGCATGCTTCCCGTACCATAAATCTTTCCAATCGTAAGCTTTGAGTGGCTTTTAAAATTTCTTTCAAAGTTTTTCCCAATCTTTCTTAATTATTATTGGGGGAAATTAATTCTACGTTCTTTGTTTAACAATGTGCTTTACTTTTATCTCATGGCTGATTCAGAACAAGAGTTAGTAACATATTATATAAAATATTTGAAAGATAAGTGTCACAAATCTGCCAATCAGCCTTCAGTATAACCGTTAACTCTCTCCCTGTCCACTCACCCTACATCAAAGCCTGCCAAATAGAAAGCCAAGCACAGAGGTCCCAGCCATGCTTCTGATCCCTTTATTCTTAAATATGAAGAAGCAGCAAAGGTTGACAAGACATTTGAATGGAGTATAATGTGAAAAGCAAGACAAATCAGATGTACAAGTGACCTCAGAAGAAACAGATAATTTATAAAAGAAGATAGAATGTTCAAAAATCACATACCACTCAGAGAGACTTGTGAAATAAGTACAACCATAAAGAATACCAGGGTTACTTGACAAATGACACAAAAAAATTAAAAGTTTACTTCAAAATAAAAGCCATTTTTACAGTAGAAGAAATAGAAGTTAAAATAACACAACCACCCATTTAATAGGGTGAGAGAGAGAGAAAAATTTCTCCAGAATGTCAGCCTCATAAACTGACAAGATAGATGCTGTAACACCCAATGAACGAAAGTTCTAGAAAGAGAGAAAAGGGAAAAATAAAAGTGATATTTTCAAGGACATAATGGTTCTGGTAATTAAGGAATAGTTGATTTAAACTAACCATCCTGCTCAAAAATTTTCTAAAAATGAAACACAGAAAATATCTGAACATCAAGGACCTTATAAGATCATGACAAATGAATGGTTTAAGCAATGAGAAAGGCTTACATCCTCAAGAAGGGAACAGAGCTGTTTCTGCTCAGAAGCGTTTGCCAGTAGAATTCAGAGCAACACAGAAGACTCAGAGATTTGCATTAGAGAAACTCAGAAGTCAGGGAGAGAGGAGTCAGAATGTTTGGGCAACCAAAGATGGAGCCACCATTTGTGGAGAAGACTTCACATACATTTTGTTGGGACCCAAGAGCTACTATATTTACTTTGGGTCTGAGAAAAGTCACCAAAGGAAGAACTTCATACTTGGAAGTGGTACTCCAACAAGAAATAGAATTTATATTCAGTATCTAGTAAAGATGAAGACCAGGAATGCAATTTCTGCTCTGGACTGGGACTCCTAATGGCCACACACTGTAGCTAGAGAAATAGATATTGCTAAACTCAAGATCAGTTCAGTCACAGGCTCTGGACTGCTAGCATATTCAGGTGATCGACAAAGAAAAGAAAATCTTATTTTAAGGAATAAAGGTGATTTCAAAGAATATCACAGCCGGCGCGGTGGCTCATGCCTGTAATCCTAGCACTTTGGGAGGCCACGGCGAGTTGATCACGAGATCAGGAGCTCAAGACCAGCCTGGCCAAGATGGTGAAACCCTGTCTGTACTAAAAATACAAAAATTAGCCGGGTGCAGTGGCAAGCGCCGCCTGTAATCCCAGCTACTCAGGAGGCCGAGGCAGGAGAATCGCTTGAACCCAGGGAATGGAGGTTTCAGTGAGCCGAGATCATGCCATTGCACTCCAGCATGGATGACAGAGCGAGACTCTGTCTCAAAAAAAAAAAAAAAAATTCTCAAAATTATATCCAGCAAATAATCATGGAGACAAAATACATCGAAAGCGAAAATCAAAAAACATAATAAAACAGGTAAACAAAATAGACCAACCAGACCCAAAATAGACCACAAAATAGACAGTATGAAGAGAAGGCCTATCTTCCATTTGATTTAACTCCTAAATGGAAAACAGAGATAGTGGGGCAGAGTTAATGTCTAATGAACCATAGTGAAAATAATTTCCAGAAATGATTTAAAAAGCATCATTTTACTCTTAAAGAAGCCGAATAAAACTTAAAATAATAAAATAAATCTTCCTAGACACATATTAAACTTCAGAAAATAAAAGACCAGACAAAAATCTTGAAATAAAATATAGCCAGGAAAAAAGGCAGATTAACCGTAAAGGGATGGCATTTAGACAGACAGCTGTCTTCTCAGGAGCAATATTAGAAGCAAATGCAGTAAGAATCCTACCTTTAGGGTGATAAAAAGGGATACATGCCAGACAATAATTCTATATTTAGAAAAATTTTTAAGAATTCAGGTGAAGTAAAGCTATTTTCAGGCACACACATATGCACAAACAGAAAAAAACAAGCTGAAGAAATTTGTCACACAGACCCCACACTAACAGAAAATTTAATTATCAGGCAAAAGAACAATGTTAGTAGAGGAAATATTCAAGATTTTAATTCAAATAAACATTGTTTCAATTTCTGAATGAACGATGACTACCTAAATGAGCAATCATAAGAATATCTTACAGGTATTAAAATATTTAGTGCTAAAATATGTGACAGCAATAGCATATAATTTTGAAGGCTATATGTGGGGTTAAAATATTCTAAGAATCATATATTCTCTAAGAAGAAGGTAAAGGTAACAGCAAAAAATGAATTCATTAAATTACAAAGGTAGAGCATTCTTTTTATTAACGAGGATAGACTAAGCTTCATTTCAGTTGGATGGTGGAAAAGGACCTTGGTTGCTTACATGATAAATGATAATCTCTCTTTCATGTCATAGTACAGTGCTTGTTGACAGAATAGTCACTAACCTTTTATCTTGTAGCTCCACTGGCCTCTACATTTTTTAAGACTTCCGTATTTAGTTTCTGCATGAGGAAAATGCAAGCATCAAGTGTAAGGGCAAGCTAGAAGTTGTGATTGTTTTTGTTCATATTCCATTGGCCAGAAATTGATTTCATCGTCCTGTCTAACTGAAAGTGTCAGAAAGATGTAGCCATCCTATGCATCCAAGAATAAGAGATCAGGGTTGTTGGTGAGGCTGCCACATTTTGAATGGAAACGGCTCAATGAGAAGCAAGCTGGGTGAATTGTACTGACCCATTCAAGATAACAAAATCGTAGAATTCCAGAGAAGACAGATAGGAGGGAGGAAACATGATGGGCAGTGTGAGGATGTAGAGATCCTCATTTTATGTTAGAAACTTAAGATAAACTGTCAAAAGGGAAGTTTACATTTTTTTACAAAGGAATTCCAAGCGTAGTTGACAGAAGAACAAATGGTATTACTTATTTTAGTTCTAAGAAGTTCATAAAGGAAGGGGAAATAGAAGAGCTTAGAAATGTGGCAAAGCCTCATCCTGTCCTTTATGGCAGGGGTCAACAAACATCTTGTACAAGGTCAGAGAGTAGATATTTTTGACTTTGTGTGCCAGAAGGTCTCCTGCAGAAGCTATGCAGCACTCAACTCTGTTGCTAAGCGAGAAAACATCTCTAGATAATAAGCAGCAAAATGGAGCTGGCTGCTTTCCAAGAAAACCTTATTCACAAACATAAGTGTCTCTGATCCCTGCTTTATGACAAGAAGATAATAGATGGCTACAGCACATTACTCAGCAATAGGATCAACATTTAGAATTATGAAAATAACCCTCACCAGAACAATAATAAAAAAGATTAAAATAAATTGCTCCAGAAACCAGGACTGGGGGATTCCATTGTATTATTTGACACTTTCCAGTAATACATATGCATAATTTCAACCACAATAATGTCAGTATTCTCACTTTGGTATTTTTAAGTTTAGGAGAACAGGGTTGGAAAGACAGTGTGATGTGAGAATGAAAATTAGATTTATAAAAATATTAAAACAGAGTATTTTTGCCTTAGGAAACAATAACTAAAACACAGTAAAATTATACAGGGTCCCAAATGTTCAACCTTAAATAACCTAAGCCTTCATTTTAAGTGTGCAGAACAAAGAAATGACAACTTCTGCTCCATGTCTTAAAGCCAGGAAGGGGCTAGTCAGGCTAGTACAACAACCTTGTATTGTTAGAGCCATGTTCTTCCCACATTTCCATTCTTCCTCCGTGGTTATTGAATGCCCACCAAATATGAAGAAATGAGAGACCATCCTGGTATGTCTGTAAGGATTTAATGCTTTCTTTTTAAAACCAAGTTGATTGTCATGCTTTTAGGTTCATACTTTCCTCTGAACCTGTCCTTTGTCCTGCATAGATCTGTAACTTAATTTATGTGACACATAAAATTAACCTTTCTAATCTTTGGAGAATTTTTTTGCAGGTGTCAAGACAGTATCATAATTGGTTTCTTTCTATGCATTTATGTGTTAAAATGTCTTTACCCTTTACCAGACTCATGAAAAACTCTTACATTTATAGGAAATTAAGAATAAATCAATTTCATTTTGTGAAGTCACTACTTGAGCTTGAGATTGTGGGCCTTTACTTTTCTTAATTTGAAAAAAATTATTATGATTTTACCCTTTAGCACTAATATTTCACACTCTTTAGAGATTTCAGTGATGCTGTTAGCCATTAATGCAAGTCAGTCATACAATGTGCAAAGGACAATGTACATCAGTCATACATTTTTATGGAAAGCACCGTAAATAATAGCGGCCACTGCCACATGCCCCAGATCCTCACACCAGGGTAACCACACACAGCCACTAAATAAAAAGGTATAAATGGGAAAATACAGTTAGAGTAGGAGTAAGACATTGTACTGCACATCAAATGCATCATAAAAGGATGGAACCTGCATAGTAGTGCATAGTATGCAGTTGTTCTTGAAAAAGGTGAATTGAAACATGGAATATGTCATAACTTGACATCATGTCTTCTCACTTCAGCATATTGCATAGTCTGCTCCCTCTAACACAGAACAATCTTTTCCTCATTCTTTGTGTAGTCAACTCACAATTGTCATTTATGATTCAGTGCATGTATCATTCCACAGGGAAGAATTCCCTCACACACACTCCAGGTTATGTTGTGGTGTTTTCACAGCTCTTTAATATTTATTAATAGAAAATTCACTATTTAAATAACAGTTTGGTAATTATGAGCAAAAGTGTCCATTAAATTGTAAATAACAAGAGGGCTTTCAGGGACCATCTCTGTTCTGTCAACCTCTGTTTCTCCAGGACTTAGTGCAGAGCTGAATATACAATTGACACTCAACAAGCATTTGTCTTAAAGTATATGATTGAGACAATGATTATTTTTTCCACATATTTTAATAATGTTTACAAAAATGTGCCTCAGAACATTAGGGTCATTCATTCATCTCTGGAAATATAATCCATAGTAAACCTGAGTCTGTCATTACCTAATAGGTGTGGAAAAGTAGAAGGGAAGCACAAAGGCACTTAGCCTTTAGTGTATAGGTCCTAGATTCATTCATAAAATAAGAAAAATAATTTGATATTTCACTCTTGTCAAATGAGCAACACCTGAACCTCAATTTTGGTGATTACAATAGAAAGAATATATCTACATAGGTAATTCTACCCCATAATGCCTTTTCTATTTGCATGCAACATTTTTCAAATTGCAGAATTACAGTCTGTTTAGGAATAATTAAAATTGATTTCTGAAAACTTGTGTCAGATAGTTGCCTAAAAATATGTCTATAATAATAAATATTTGATATTCAGAATTTGTGAATAGAGATGAAAACTATAAAAAATAAGTTGTTCTCTGCAAAAAATCTTGGAACCATTTCAAAATATTAAAATTATTTAGAGAAATTAGTCCCGATTTTGGCAAAGGGAGTGAAAACTTTTCTCTGTATTTGTCACCTATGAAACTAACCTTTGTTAGTTCCCAAGTGATAAGTTTTATCCACAGTTGGTGTATGATGGGCAACTTTACCATTTTAAGATTTTATTGCTTAATTCAAAATTAACTTCATGATTCACTGAATAATTGTAATGCCTTTTTTTTCTTGAATGGATAACTGCAATCTTTTGTATGTATGTGTTAAGTATCTTGACAGGGGAGTGGGTTTGCAAGGAACTTTAACATAGACACACCCGTCCCCACAAAACACATACAAATAATAAAGCAATATACAAATATACATTATATTAAAAAAATGGAACTAGTGTTATGCTAAATTAAAATATCCCAGTTATCAGGAAATACCATTCTGGACATAGGCCCTGACAAAGATTTTATGGCAGACTCCAAAAGCAATTGCAACAAAAACAAATATTGACTAGTGGGACCTAATTAAACTAAAGAGCTTCTGCAAAGAAAAGAAGCTATCAACAGAGTAAACACACAGACTACAGAATGAGAGAAAATATTTGAAAACTATGCATCTGACAAAAGTCTTATATCCAGAATCTGTAAGAAACTTAAACGAATTAACGAATTAACAAGCAAAAACAAACAACCCTATTAAACAATGGGAAAAGGACATGAACAGACACTTCTCAAAAGAAGACATACAAGCAGCCAACAAATATATGAAAAAATGCTCAAGATCACTAATCAATATAAAAATACAAATCAAAACCACAAGGAGATTCCATGTCACACCAGTCAGAATGGCTATTACTAAAAACTCAAAAAATTACAGATGCTGGCAAGGCTACAGATAAAAGAGAATGCTTATACACTAATGGTGGGAACATAAATTAGGTTAGTCACTGTGGAAATCAGTCTGGAGATTTCTCATAAAACTTAAAATAGAATTACCATTCAACCCAGCAATCCCAGTATTTGATATATACCCAAAGGAAAAAAAATATTGTTCTACCAAAAAGACACATGCATGCGTATGCTAATTGTAGCACTATTCACAATAGCAAAAACGTAGGATCAACCCCGGTGCCCATCAACAGTGGATTGGATAAAGAAAATGTGATGCATATACTCCATGGGATACTACTCAGCCATAAAAAAGAACGAGATTATTTCCTTTGCAGCAACATGGATTGAGCTGCAGGTGATTATCCTAAGCAAATTAATAGAGGAACAGAAAATGAAATACTGCATGTTCTCACTTATAAGTGGGAGCTAAACATTGAGTACACATAGACACAAAGGAAGGAACAACAGACACTGGGGCCCACTTGAGGGTAGATGGTAAAAGAAGGGTGAGGATCAAAAAGCTACCTATCTGGTGCTATGCTTATTACCTGGATGACAAAATAAGCTGTATGGCAAACCCTGTGACATATAATTTACTCGTGTAACAAACCTGCACATGTACCCTCTGAACATAAAGTAAAAATCGGAAGAAAAAATAAAATTAATATAATATTCCAGTTGTCTTCTCTGTCTACCCTATATGGATGGTGCATTATTATAACGTGTACCTCCCATCTCTACAGCCAATGATTTCTACATATTATACAGAGTGATAATCAATCACAAATCCAACATTTCTGTTTGATACTTACAAGATGTCAAGAAATGCCAGCAACAATATGGGCACCTATCTCATCACTTGGTCTATGTCTGGCTTGTTTAATGAGGTCCATTGAATGGCCAATAAATGCATGACTTTTTGTGGAACAGATAGTATTTTGAAATATTGACTAAGATAAAAATATCTTGCATCCAAAGTTAAATGCCATATTTTCATCTATTGAATGATCGCATTCTTCAGAATCCCTATCAATAAAATTACTCCAACACATACTCATTAAATTAACTAACTACTGTTTTTGGGACCACAAATGCACAGGAGACTCAAACATAAAGACATCACCAATTTGCATACAGTCTAATATTAAACACAGTTGCCTATTTACAAATTAAGCAAAAATAATTTGACTATGTGGTTTATAAACAGTAAAATAGAGAGTAAGAGAAACAGGTTCCAATTTTGTCAGTGGAGATGATTACATGAAAGTCTTTTAGAGAGAACTTACTTTATCTTGACCATATAAATAGAAAAGTAGGGATAGAACTTCAAGATAAATTTTCCTCAGACCTTTGAGCTTTATGGAACTTAACTCAGAGCCTTGGAAGCTTATGTATCTTTGAAAATTATTTTATAGATTTGTTCTCAGGAAATATTTTTGAGCTTATGCTAGGCAAACAAATGGTGGAAAATTCTGGTTCACTCCATAGCAGTTTAACAAAGTAACATTGGAACTCTAAATATATCTATAAAATTGACAGCTGGATGAGGTGGTTCATGTCTGTAATCCCAGCACTTTGGGAGGCCGAGACGGGCAGATCTCCTGAGGTCAGGAGTTCAAGACCAGCCTGGCCAACATGGCGAAACCCCGTCTCTACTAAAAATACAAAAATTAGCCGGGCGTGGTGGCGCATGCCTGTAATTCCAGCTATTAGGGAGGCTGAGGCAGGAGAAATGTTTGAACCCAGGGGGCGGAGGTTGTAGTGAGACGAGATCGTGCCACTGCACTCCAGCCTGGGCAACAGAACGAGACTCCATCACAAAAAAAAAAAAAAAAAAAGACAATTGTACAATGACTTCCTGACATTAATTTGTGCAGCCTACCAATGTTAATTTGTGAAACTATAATGACAACAAAGATTTCCTGTCTCCAAACAGGAAGAAACTTAGATACTAATCCTAGATTTGCCCAAAACTAACTGATTTTTAAAAGGTAAATTATCCATTCTGTTTCAATTTCCTCTTCTATCTTATTTAATACTACAAAATAATGGAGCAGGATTAAAAGAGTTTTAAGATCCCTTTCCAAAAACATATTTGTGAATAACATTCTACATGAGAGATTTTCATGAGGGGAAGGGATGTCTGAGAGGAGAAATGTGTGGAAATTTGGAGAAGGAGAGTTAAAAGCAGAAAACTACTGGGAAGTGGTTCCAGATCCATGCTGGGGGAATCAGTGTAACTTTTGGGTAGGTTTCACATTTCTGGATATGTATTTTTACTTTGTTAAAAATAAGATGGAAGTACAAAATTGGTATCTTGAAAGTTCTGAGATTTAGTTAAAGCCTATAGACAGCACCCTGAGCAAAGATGCTTACTTCTAAACGAACAGACATACATCACTAGTGCAGACCTCTTGGTTTTTCCTGGTGCAGTACCTATATTCAGATCCTCAGGTGGGCTTGGTCCTTCATCCATAGAAGGAAAGACAGAATCAGTGAAATATGTGGGAAAATGGTACTATTAACTCATGTTGTGAAGTCCAGCTGTAATTTATCTTCTCCATGTAGCCCATCTTGATGCCTCCAGGTAAAATGCATTTCTCCTTTCCCTTTGAGAAGTGGTCTCTAGCCTTATTAGGCCCCATGATGTCATGCCATCTCTCCAGCTTCCCCTATTCAGCTGTGTCTCCAATTCTCCAGTATATCTATTCTAAATGTTCTTTCTCTTAAATTTTCCAGCTTCATGACCCCAATGAGAGCAATGAAGGTACAATCACAAGAACATAGGGAGTAGAAAGAGAGAAAGTAGATACTGTGACAATGGAAATACTATACAGCAGATTGGCCCATATAGTGGCAAACTAATAATACCTAGTAGAGGGTAGAAGGAGTAAAGATTGTTTTATTAACGTTTGTTGATAAATTAATTTAGATGAGCCAGGAGAGAAAGAAAGATACAATTGTAGGACAGAAATCATAACTCCAAAAGCATCACTTTCAGATGTCAATGGGATTCAAAGCACTGGTAAAGAATTGGACTTATGTAGCAGGAGGTATACAGCCTCCTTAGTATCCTGAGATAATACAAGATGGACACAAATGCAGATAGGATTACACATCAGCTCTGGGAAGAAATTGCAAGATAACCTGGCTGGTGGCTGTTACTTTTCCCTGTAACATTTTAAATACTGTCATCTGCACCAATAAGCAATGTGGAGCAACGTGGAGTTCGGCTTATAAGGAGGAAGTTAAAGATTTGAGTAGAATAGAGAGGCTTAACTTAATTGATTTTGAAGAATGAGAAAAGTTACTGGCTGAAGAAAAACTAGTAGAATTTTAGGGCTGTGTTTATGACCCGACTGGATTTGGCAGGTATAATATATGGTAGCGCTAATTTGCACAGATGTGTGACTTTGACAATGGCAGTGCCTGTCCAGAAACATGAATAGAAATAATAGATCATTGTGTTTTACAGGGATGGTGTTCTTCTATGCACATGTGAAATAAAATAGCATAAGGACAGTAGTTTGTGTTGTGAGGATGAATTCCTAGCCAATAGGATGAGGTGAAAGCAGGAGATAATTCCAGATTGAAAAAAAAAAAAAGATAAGTCAATTCACAAAAGATTTTCATGAAGTTGATGACAGGCTTAGTGAGAATACATTTGCAAGTACACTAGAAGTATGGACATTTGTTTTTATGTTGTAGGAAGTTACATTTCAGAAGTACCAACTTCTGGTTAGTGAAATAATATGTGTAACTTTGAGAGTCAGAGACGAAAGAAAGGGAGAGGATCTTATTTAAGACTAAGAAGACATAAAACTGAGAGTCCAATGGGTCAGTCAGATTACAAGTGGGATGTTCATGTCACCCAGGATGGTGGCAAGAGTGAGGTGGGAAGATTGTGAGTCACATGTCAGAGACTTCCTGAGTGAGGCTCCTGCCCACAAGTTTGATAGATGACAAGGGGACAGATGAATAGACATGAGAATAAGCTTCAATGGAGAGGAGCAGCAGCAGATCATATAATATGATAGAGCATTTGGTAAACCAGAAATGATATTAGAGTAGAAGCAAAAAAGGTATCTCTATTCCAACCCCACATAACGTAGTGGTGGAAGAATTATTAAGAAAAAATTATAAATAGACAAAAGAGATGATTGTGTGTTCTTCCAGTGATGTGCTGGACATTGACCAAGCCTACCTAAGGATTAACTTCAGGGGTATGTAACTTGTTAGACATGTTATTGACTATTGATTAGGATATTGTATAACTCTATAAGGATATATTTGCTTTTAGAAAGTATAAAAAAGTAGAATTTTTAAATGATAGCCATACAAATGAATTTTGTCCAGGACAGGTACAAATTGTTTCTGTTATAAAAATATGATCCACAGGCCATTATACACATTAGTTAATATTGTATATAAGTTACAAATTTTATTCAAGCATGCATTCTTTCTTCTAGCGAAACATAAATATGCCTTTCAACAACTCTCTTTGAACTAGTCTTGTTATCTTATAATGAACTAAATAAATTTTGACATGTGTGCACTTTAAATTTGTTTAGAAGCCAAAAGGCTTCACTCTTTGAAACTTACATTTTGACAAAATAATCCTTCACTTGAGAAGCCTGAATAGGATATGATGTCTACATGTGAAAAGTTGAAAAATGTAATAATTACAGAAGAATCCATCTAGCCATTGTTTATAACATGAAATTGCCTGATTTTCTTTCTGATATAGCAGAATGTTCAAGATTCTAATTTTATTTTAGAATAACCTAAAAAGGAATATTTCTAATGAAAGCATAAAAGAGGTAAAATAACTATGATAATGTTTAATACAAAGTCACCCAGAAAATGCCTTCATACTAAAATTAAAAGGAGTAAGAAGATATATTCCCTTATGACAAGAAATTACAAATGGTGATTCCATAAATCACTACGGGCTTTCCTTTTCTCTCATCACCATCTCCTTTCAACAGTACAACTTATGTATGTATGTCAGATTAGAAGTTTAGTCATTCATTCAGTTATTGAAAAAAACACATACATGGTGTCGAATATGACAGAAGTACTAAATGCTTTACCCATATTAACTGATTACTTTACAAGAATAATTTGCCGTAGTTATGCATGAAGCAGAGATATGCAAATTCTAGAGGTCCAAGGAAATAAGATCATAATGGGAATTGCGAGAGAGAAAACAGGATCAATTTTGTTGTGGTGGTTTCTCAGTTGGTGGTGCCTAGAAAGAATAGAAAGAAAAGCTAAACCTACAAAAATAAAAGTCATCAATATCCAGGAAAAGAAGAAATATAAATACTTTTTATGTTACTTAATTTAAAGATTTTGAGAAATAAACCAAAGTAAAACCATCTCTGGTTTTCATCTACAGTTATAATTAAGATTGAATTTGAATTTTGTGAATTTCATACTGAAGTTAGAAGGCATTGATTGGCTGGGGAAGTTAGAGTGTTGCATAGCTGACAAATTAAAGAATCCAAGCACTTGCTTGATGGTGACAATTATCTTGAACTGTGAATTATGATGGTCTAATTTTTGCAACACAAAAATTAGAATGTGAATTATAATGGTCTAATTTTTGCAACACAATTCTATGGTGAATTATAATGTGAATTATAATGGTCTAATTTTTGCAACACAATTCTATGGTTATAAGAAAATCTTGGCTGCCACTACTACATTTAATTAGGCCATTTCTATTGGGCTGTGGAAATATCACTGTATTCAGTCTAACAATTATGCTTGAGTTCTATTGATTGCTGAGTTGATAACTTTGACCTCTTCCCTCCAATATCTGCTTTACCTGATTTCTCATCTACACTTTTGCCAGAACCAGCTGGTCAAAGTGCAGGCCATTAAAAAAAAAAAAACTCAAACAACCCTGCAATTGGTTACACCATAATTTTATAACACCCAACTCCACCTGAGTTGTGTTGAACATGAAAGATCAATTGTGAAAATTTGTTCAATAAAGAGTCATTGAGCCACTGCTCTCTCTAGGCACTGGGGTTTTGGTGCTTATGATACATAAGTGGAGAACACTATCAAAATCCCCACCCTAAAGGAACTTACATTCTAGCACGGCTAGAGAGAATGGCAAAAAAAAAAAAAAAGTATAGAAGTCAAGATTAGCACTCAGTTTTAAAAGTACATATCTAAACCACACAACTGATGAACTATTATCTATTGTTCCTCTCAGAATTCTAGCTGCCCTACAGTTTGAAAGAAAAGGGCAAACAAAGGTAAATTTTAAGATCATTGTTATGTGGAGGTGGGGATGTGTTACTTTAACATCCCTCCAACAGACACCCCTCTGCAAAGGCATCCAAGTCGTGAAAAATACAATTAATTTTAGCCACATAAAAATCACACAGCAGAGAGTACATGACTTGGATCTCTGATTTGGGGAGTAAAGAGTTACTGATTCCAGTTGTATTTTGTGAGTTTCTTATAGCAAACTGGCCTTTTTTGGAGTAGAATAAACTAGATTTACTCCAAGTGAAGAGAATTCTGGAACTCTCTTTTATTGTCCTTACCCACCTATATAAGCTATTATGATGCTTAGCTTAGCAGCAACTCCATTAAGATATCAGTAAATGGCCCAGGCAACTGAAAGATGCCCTGAAAGGGCAGATAGTGTTGAAAAATGTCTAAAAGGTCTTCCAAAGAATAACACAACAGGTTCATATCTCCCTAATGGTCGCCACCCTGTGTCTTCAGTGGCCATTGCAAGTCTTCAATGTTTTTCCCTTCTTACCCCATCATGTAACACCTTCAAATCATAATGCCACTTTTTCTCCATGGAGAATATAGAACCTAGCAGTCTAAAAATTCACTGTTCTAAAAGGAAGCTACTAGCCACATGTGACTGTCAAGCACTTGAAATATGGCTTTTCCAAATCAAAATGTGCTATATTTGTAAAATACATTTAAAATATTAAGGACAATGTAAAATATATCTCTAATAATTTCATATTATTATCTATTGAAAGGATAACATTTAGTATATATTGATTAAATAATGGTATCATAATTAATTTTGCCAGTTTTCTTTGACTTTTTAATGTAGCTACTAGAAAATCATAATTGCATATGTGCCTGTTTACGGATTGCACTTTTATTTTACAGCCCTGGCTCAGAAGCTAGCCATCTGGAACTTCTTTGACTGACCAGTATTACTTACGTGGTTTTTCTGCCCTCCATCACAAAGGGTGATCTTTGGTATTACTTACATGTTTTACATTACTTACTGGTATTATTTACATGGTTTACATTACTTACTGGTATTCCTTACGTGTTTTTTCTACCCTCCATCAAAAGGATGTTCTCTACATCTGTTTGCTCAGTCTTTACTTCATTGTTTCAATAATCACCTCTCTTTCTTTCATCTTGACCTTCAACGAAATGTCATGATTAATGTTCAACTCCGCCACCAGTAGATCATGACTTTCCTTCAGCTGAAGGATTAGGTTCAGTCCATGTGCATATCCCTAGAGTTTAGTAAGTATTCAATGCATTAAAAAAACTCAATATATAATTGTTACTTAAGTGAATGAATAATTCATATGAACAGAAAAGAAAAAATCAATATCATGTTTAGTAAGAAGTTTTTTGAGGAAACAATGAATATGTTGGGGAAAGCAAACGTGGTACTATTGAGATTGCCTTTATTTCCCCTCAGTAAATTTTGTTTATATGATTTGTGTGCTGATATGGACACAATTTATATCAGGACCAGTACAACATTCTTATAATCAAACCAATATTGTTTTATATTTTGGATAAAGTACTTTACACCAAAATAATGAATCAAATTTTGTTAAAATTTTCAACTTGCTCTTTCAAAATAAATAAGTTTGTTCCTCAACCTAGGAGACTGTTTGACTAAATATAAATATAAATAACTAAATATAAATAAATAGAAATATAAATAAAAATAATGTATATTTGACTAAATATAAATTATCTGACTAAATATAATTGGCACATACACTCAGGTAGTTGGCTAGGATTTCTAATTCTTAGTTTCCAAAATTTAAAAAAAAAAAGACAAAACAATAGTATATATAAGAATGGCCCATATTTGATAGCTCAAGAGCTATCCTGTTTCAAGAAGCAAAGTTGCTCTGAACACACTATATTCTGAATTCTTAACATATTATGATGTGCTACTGATTTATCCTGCTCCAGTACTATAGCATACCAAAGACAACTTAAAGCAAGCAATGCAGTATAAAATACTGGAATAAATATTGATGAGCTGAGTGTCAGAGGAGCAAGATTATAATGCTATTTCAGAAGTAATTGCTTTGAGACTTAACTCTTGATCTCTAGAAATGGAGAAGCTGGCCTAAATAATCTTTACAGCATCTTCCCACCCAAGAATACAAAAGGACAACTACATCTGCTTGCATTTATATTGATTTAATTCTAGACCTGTAAAAGAAAGCTTATTTCAACATAAAACCCTGCAGCAAAATTGAATAAGAAAGAGTATAATGTTAATTTCCAGTAAAAGGATAAAAAAACCCTAGAACCTGTTTCACCTATATTCATAAGTATCAAGAAGTGACATGGAAGTCATTCGATTCAGCCTATGATAACTAGATTTAGTTCTATATTTGAAATCTGTTGTTGCCTAGGTTTAAATGCTTTGAGGTCTTAAGTCTATATATAATGTTATAGCGTGCTTATTAATTGCAAAATTTTTCAATTTAATATGACAAAAATATTGCCTGGTAATCTGGGTATTAATGTTTATAGTTTCCATCACTTCACCTCAAACCTTCACAAAGGTTTTTTTTCTTATCCTCTCACTTCAGTCTCCCAAGCAGCAGAGACTAGAGAAAGTAGGCACCATGCCAAGCCACAAAGCTGTATATGGACAAAAAGAGAGATAAATAAGACTTAGTGTCCTCACTCTACAGAATGGTTAAATAAATTTGCAAATGTCAAGGAGATTTATGACAACATAGAACCAAGAAGAAAATAAATGAAGTTCACTGTCTTCTTGACCCTGACAACTTTCCTTAAGAAAAATTCCTGAAAAGAATGGTACTTCTTAATAGTAAAAACAATATATACTTTAGCTGGGCATATTCGGCAGGATGCAATCCATTCTTCTTTAAACTCCAGTGTTAGGAAATATTTTCTTTTTATTAACTCACAAAACCAGATATCACATATTTTACTTCCTTGTTATCATCTCTCTACTGGTACTAACATATAAAGCCCATGAGGGCTAAGGTTTTTATTAACCTAGTTATTTTTGTTTATCTGTCTATCTCCAGGCCTGAGAATAATTTCTGGAAGGAAACTAAGTTCATTATATATATTTATTAAATAAGTAAATGAATAAAAACAATTTCAACTAAGTTTCATAATAAATATTCATAATTGGTGACATCAAATCAGGAAGCTGGCATGTGAACTTTCTTTATGCCAGCTTTCTTGTTTCAGCCAGAGTAGTCTCATTCTTTATAGGACTAAACGACTCATAACATTATTTTTATGAACTTATTTTTATATAACAAATATTCATTTACCATCTTTTATGTTCAAAGCAAAGAAGATAAGAATTATGGTGAATCATCTGTCTCTTTAAATATAACATGAAAAGATTACACTAGTTTACATATAAAGTATTTTTTCAACATAATATTTTATCGTAATTTCTTCCCTAGTTTACACAAACATTTGTGATAATAAAGCTGAAAACTGTGGAAATAAATATATGATTAACCTAGTAACAGATACAACATTCAATCCCTTTGGCAGCTATAGATTAAAACTCTGTTATGAAATCTCTGCCTTCTCCTTAGTTTGGGTATTTGATACTAGAGATAATATATGATATTCATTCCACTCTCCTGATTCATGAACATATCACAAGGGATTGCATACAGACCACAAGACTGATCTTAAGAAATTAAGTAAGGTAACACGTCATGAGAAAAGCAATGGGAAGTCCTGATTCCTATGTGACTTCTCTTCATGAACTGACTTATATATAGTTTCAATCTGCTATACCAAGGATGACCAATATTTTGGCTTCTGTGGGCCACATTGGAAGTAGAAGAATTGTCTTGAGCCCCACATAAAATACACTAACACTAATTGTAGCTAATGAACTAAAAAAAGAAAAAAATCGCACAATACTCATAATGCGTTAAGAAAGTTGACGAGTTTGTGTTGGGATGCATTCAAAGCTATCCTGGGTCACGTGTTTGTGTTGGGATGCATTCAAAGCTATCCTGGGTCAGATGTAGCCCATGAGCCACAGGTTGAGCAAGCTAGTGTTATACTCATCTGATTTTGGTATACTTTATTAAACAAAGAATCTCACAAAGTTCACAATAGCTTTCATGAAACATAATACAACAAATGTGTCACTTTGGTCATGGATTTTCACAAGTGAAGAGTATAAATGAGGATATCAAAGAGAAATTACACCAGTCAGGGTTAAACAGGTAAGGAGAATTTTTTCTTTAAGACTATTGCAATAGGAATTAGGAATGTTACCATAGGGAAAGAGAGTAAACTCACTTCCAGTGAAATAAAAGACAAAGTATTATTTGTTTGTTTTTTGTTTAAGTACTGGGTTGAGCTAGTGGAAAAAAAACTGGAGGACATTATGGAGAAGAAAGTCCAAGTGATTAGGCCATCTGTATTTGCCAGTTGGCAGTATTGAAGTTAGGCTCCTACTCTCCCAAAGAGACAGAGGTTAGGAGAGCTATCTTAGTTAATGATTACATTTCAAAGGGATGGCTGCCAGGTCCTTGAGAAAGGCATTTCTGGGTTGTAAAACGGGTAAGAGGCTGGGAGAAGACATATCTCAATGGGGAAGAGGAAGGATTTATAACTGCCAGTTTTCTAAAATAAATACTCTAAGAAAAAGGATATCAGGGGCTCATCATCAGAAATAAACCTGTCCCAAGTTTAGCCCAACTGAGAGGAATGTTAAGGCTGTCTTGCTGAAAATAAAGGAAAATGCAAGTTTGGTGCATATTGATTGCTGGAAAATTGATGCTTAGCTCATATTCACCCACTAGTTAGTGGTATAGGAATGAAAATAGATGTCTCTTGTTTTCTCCTGTCTGAACTGGTATACATAATAGATTTTATTCTTTCTTAGTTCCCGTTTATCACATATCTGTATGTTTCTCAAAGAAGAGTTACTGGCACATAGTAAAATATGGGATTTTATGGTTTTAGGAAATGACATTCTTCTTCCTTTACAGGGTTTAGAATCAATTGATCAATAAATGCAGAAATCAGAGAAAAGAGGGACAAAGTATCACCTTTTGACTGACAGGTGATCTATTACTATGGTCCTTCTGTCAACACACCAAGGCTTTTTCTCTTAGACCAGTTATTGTTCCTCTTGGTGCCATCCTGGGCCTAACCAATGCTTAGTTTAGCCTTCACTACAAGGTTCTGAAATTGTTTATTAAAGCCTATTAAATTTAACTAATTCTGGTTTACTCTGTTCTCAAGGTTAAAACTTAACTTCTTATTCAATTCCCTACTGATGTGGTTAGGCTTTGTGTCCCCATCACAATCTCATCTTGAATTGTCATTTCCATAAACCCCATAATCCTCAGATGTCAAGGGAGAGACCAGGTGGAGGTAATTGAATCATGGGGGTAGTTTACCCCATGCTGTTCTTGTGACAGTGAGTGAGTTCTCACAAGATCTGATGTTTTCTAAGGGGCTTTTCCCCATTCATTCGACACTTCTCTTTCCTGCCACCTTGTGAAGAAGGTGCCTTGCTTCCCCTTTACCTTCTGCCATGATTCTAAGTTTCCTGAGGCCTCCCTAGCCATGCTGACCTATGAGTCAATTAAACCTCTTTTCTTTATAAATTAACTGGTCTGGGGAAGTGTTTTATAGAAGTGTGAAAATGAGCAAATACACCCACCATTATGTATGTTATGATATCCAAAAGAATTTATTCAATGATTTGCAAATAGATGAAAGGGCAGTATTGTCTAATATACAGCAACATATGGAAAGCTCAATTTCAAATATAATTCAGATTTATCAGCATACCCTACGGAAAAATTAAAAGCCAATGTACAAATAAACATGAAAATTAAAGTCTAAAGAATTGTAATCAAATAAATTATGAGTTTATCCTTCTCTATTTACTATTCTTTCTTGTTTCAGCCAGAGTAGTCTCATTCCAATGCCTGTGCGGACATGGTGCTTCTTCCACAGCTTTAACCAAGGCCCCCTTTTATAGAGTAGATATGTTCCTAGTAGGTCTTCAGATGTTGATCTAGACTTTCAGAGGTTCTTCTATGAAATAATCCAAAATATCAGAGACCACTAAAGATCATAGCCCATACTAACATCCAAACCCTGTAACTGCCTCGAGCAAAATTATGTTCTCATAATGAACACAATGGTTGGTTCATTAGCTATCCAGGTTAATGATGCCAAACTCAAGGCATAAAATCAGTGATGCTAGAGGAAGGAAAAAGGAGAACAATTGTCTTGGTTTCAACCATGCTAGAAGGCTAATCAATCTATGAGAATATTCGTAATGTAAATAAGGTGCTGTAGCAGATAAACACCAACTTTTTTTGTTTTGTTTTTTTGGAGGCAGAGTCTAAGTCTGTTATCTAGGCCGGAGTGTAGTGGCATGATTGCGACTTGTTGCAACCTCCACCTCCCAGGCTCAAGCAAACCTCCCACCTCAGCCTCCCGAGTAGTTAGGACTCAGTGAGTAGTTAGGACTCAGGTGCACACCACCATGCCTGGCTAATTTTTGTATATTTTCTTAGTAGAGACAGGGTTTTCCCATGTTGCCAGGCTTACTCCTAGGCTCAAGTGATCTGCCCAACCTCGGCCTCCCAGAGTGCTGGGTGTTAACAGATGTGAGCCACCATGCCTAGCCAAACATCAATATTTTAATGGCTTCACACAATAGAAGCTCATTTTCTGTTCAAGGGAGGTGGTGTGGAATGGGAAATACAAGGCTGCACTCTATGCCATTATATACTGATTGTAGACTTCATGGCAAGGCTCCCAAAGTCACCTAGAGCATTCATATCCAACTGGTCAAAGGGTGCTGAGGATCATGACAGAAGAGAGCTGAGGATCATGAGAGAAGTTTTTATGTATCAGGCCTGCATGTGGCATACATCATTTTTGCCCACATTCCATTGGTAAGAACATAGTAGTATGGCCAATCTAACTGTAAGGAAGACTGGAAAATGCAGGCTACATGTCTGCCAGGGAAAAGATACACTGGATGCCTCCAGAGCAAATCAGTTTAATGTCTAAAGGACCTATGAGCTTAAATTCATTAGGATATATCTTTTATGCTAAAATCATTATCACAGTATGATTTAATGTATTTTTGATAGAATGGTGGATATTGTCTCTTGTCTCAGGGAGAAACATTTGAATATTTCTTTCTGGAAAATTTAGAAATTTTCAGTGATAGTAACTTCATTCACCAGGAATTACTTTGGTGTCTTCCTCAATCAGAATATTTCAAACTTCCATTTCTTCTTTAGCCCATCATTTTTGGTACTCTGATGTTGCATTGTATATGAGTTTTACCTAACAACACAACTCCTACTCTTTCCTTTGAGCATGCACTTCCCTGTGCTACAGTAGATATTGCCACTGCTTTTGCAATGGAATTTCTTATACCTATGAGATTTGCCTGTTGGAAAAGTAGCCCACGCATCCCTATAATTGTTTCAGTTAGAGCAGGATTTTCAACAGGTGTGTGAACCAAAGCTCCTAGTGATGTTTTGTAAGTATATATTCTTAGTGGTTTGTGAGAGTCCCAACTTGAAGCATTGTACTCTTGGGAACACTTATTTTCCTGAGATATAAAGTGTTCTGTATTTTAAATATGCATTTCTGCCTTATTTCATTTTACTGTAGTTTATACAATAGTCTATTAATGTTCTCTTTTCCTGTGATATTCGGCTATCACTTTCAGGCAAATTACTGGATGTTCTAATACTTTAACATGCTTCTTAAGTTAGCTCCTTTTCCTTCTACTGTAGTTGTGGTTCTATTTCCTAAAATTGAGCCATTATTTCTGTTCTCTTTGCTTTCTGCATCAGATGTTATTTCTGGCTTATAACATATTCCTCTAGATTTTGTCTTGTAATTTCCCAGAATTATAGAATTGAAAAATCTTGGGTCCGCTGAAATCAACAAGTGATTCAAGAAAGTCTCATCCACTTCCATCTTCTCGAGTTGAAGAATGTCACTAGTAAAATGATACCATTAAATCAACGGGTAGACCTGATCTGGCCTTAGTCTGTTATAGTCTCACTTTACCTAGAGTTATGCAGTGACTTCTTGTTTATATTATTTCAAGACAAAGTTTAACTAGAATTTATCTTATAAAGGTATATTCATTTGAATATTAGCCAATACCTCTTTGAGTACTTTCCACAGATAATTCTGTTTTTTTCTCTCAAACATATCCATATTATCTAAATACTGCTAGGTGTTTATGGAGAACTTAATAGTCAAAATTATTTTGCAAATTAAAGTTAGAAAGTTCAAGGGGTTATTCTCAGTTGAGATTGACAGGTAAAAAAGTTCAAGGGATCATTTTCCATTGTTTTTACTATAAAATCTTATAAAACAAAAAATCATTGTGACCTTTGATTTTTGATGTGAGTCAAGCACATGGTAAACAGTAAAGTCTACCTTGTGGAGCTCTAGGCTGGGCGAGAGTGAGATAAGTAAGCAAGTTCCCTGTTTGTTTGTAATCAGTCATATGTTTAATTACTATGTATATTTAATTGCTCAATTACTTGTATATTTCTTGGTAAGTGCAGCATGAGCCCATTGGTATCTTTTATGAACATCCTCATTAGCCCTGCAGGTAGAATTAAACATACCTTTCTTTGTAGCTTCTATGAATTCTGAACACATCTAATTAGGGTATCTATACTAAGTTATTACATTGTTTATGATCATACTTTTTTCCCCTAGTTTTTTTGCCGTTGATGGTAACAGCAGCTAAATATTTGTGTTAGATGGGTTCTGGGTTCTTACTAATTCAAAATGACCCAAAAATATGTCGAGTGAGTCAATAATTAGTCAACATACCTTCTCTAGCCTCTTCCAAAACATAGCTGAAAGAAGGAAATAGGCTGGTGACTTTTTCATGGCTTTTTTTTTTTTTTTTTCCTGATGAAAGGCTATACGTAATACCTTGCAGAGAAGTTAAAGCCCAGATGGAAACCAGCAGATTTACAGGCTATAATAACAACATACAAGAGTACGGGTACCGCACAGCAGCTACAGTTGCTAATGGTGTTCAAATGCAGAGTAATTTCTAGGAGTTTTCCTGGCCAAGGCTGGGGAAAGTCAGCAGTCATGGGCACACCAGCCAGGAGGACTGAAAATGGTTTTTCCACTTGTCAGAGCTGCTGATAATCAGCATGCATTGAACCTGCCTACCTATTATGATATCTTTTTATACAGGGAGAAACCAGAAGTTTACTATTTCTCTCAAAGATGATGACCAAAAATGAAAATTTACTTTTCTTCTCATATTTTTCATCCTTTTCCCCTACATTTTACATTAGCCCATATCTGACCACTGCTTTATTATACTTGTTAATATTTTTGTTCGTTTAATGAAATTAGACCACCACTTTTTATAGTGATTGATGTTGTTCGTTCAATTGGACCATAGAAAGCAGACTCAGCACATGTAATTCTTTGGCTATTATGCACTCCTTTTACTGGCCCATGTTTAAATTTTTAACAAGGTACTAGTATCTTCAAAATCATTATCCAACAAAAAGTTGAAACCTCCATAATCATCTAAATCTAACTACATGGTCCTCTTTACTAACCCGTCTTGCTGTCATGTGTGTATGTGTGAAATATATTAAAATTTATTTGTACATTAAGTAAAATATTTATAACTGTATAAAATACTTATGTTTATATTTTATATATTATTAATGTATTTAAAAGCATTATATGTTTATATGTTTGAGTAATATATATTTTAAAAATACACATATTTGGCCTGGCACGGTGGCTCACACCTGTAATCCCAGCACTTTGGGAGACCGAGGCGGCAGGATCACGAGGTCAGGAGATTGAGACCCTCCTGGCTAACATGGTGAAACCCTGTCTCTACTAAAAATACAAAAAATTAGCTGGACGTGGTGGCGGGCGCGTGTAGTCCCACTACTCTGGAGGCTGAGGCAGGAGAATGGCGTGAACCTGGGAGGCGGAGCTTGCAGTGAACCCAGATAGTCCGCTGCACTCCAGCCTGGGCGGTAGAGCGAGACTCTGTCTCAAAAAAAAAAAAAAAAAAAAAAAAAAAAAAAAAAAAAAAAAAAAAAAAACGTATATATGTATGCATTTATATATATGTATTTCTTCAAAAGTATAATCTATTTAAATAAAAATTGTTCCTAAAAACTTTAATGTGTAGTACATTCTTTGTGATTTGAAGGAACTTACTTATTTCACTTGATATTGTGTTGCTAAGATTTAGAAATATGGGAGTCTGTATTTATTCATCTTTTTTCTTTTTTTGAGACGGAGTCTCGCTCTACTGCCCAGGCTGGAGTGCAGTGGCACGATCTCGGCTCACTGCAGGCTCCGCCTCCTGGGTTCACGCCATTCTCCTGCCTCAGCCTCCGGAGTAGCTGGGGCTACAGGCACCCACCACCACGCCCGGCTAATTTTTTGTATTTTTTTGGTAGAGATGGGGTTTCACTATGTTAGCCAGGATGGTCTCGATCTCCTGACCTCGTGATCCGCCCACCTCAGCCTCCCAAAGTGCTGGGATTACAGGCGTGAGCCACTGCGCCCGGCCTCATCTTTTATATTGTATGATATTCCATTGTGTGACTATACTGTAATTCATTTACTCTCCCTTTGCTAGGCATTTAGGTCCAGTTGTAGGCTGTCTTTAAGGTGGCTCCCAGGCCCGCCGACATGGCTTACACCTGTAATGTCAGCACTTTGGGAGGCCAAGGCCAGCAGATCACGAGGTCAAGAGATGGGGAGACCATCCTGGCCAACATGGTGAAACCCTGTCTCTACTAAACCTTGTCTCTACTAAAACCCTGTCTGTACTAAAAATACAAAAATTAGCTGGGCGTGGTGGCAGGCACCTGTAGTCCCAGCTACTTAGGAGGCTGAGGCAGGAGAATTGCTTGAACCCAGGTGGCAGAGGTTGCAGTGAGCCGAGATCGCACCACAGCACTCCAGCCTGGGTGACAGAGTGAGGCTCCATCTCAAAAAAAAAAAAAAAAAAAAAAAAAAAAAGATGGCTCCCAATAATCCCTGTATCTCACTATTCTCACAATTATGTTAGCTCCTCACCTTAAATTTGGACTTCTTCTATGAAACAGAACGTGAGAAAAGTTTTGAGATGTTACTTCCAAGAAGAGATTATAAAAATACAATGATTGCCATCCTGCCTCTTTTTCAGAGCCCTCACTCTGGGGGGAAGCAAGAAGCCATCTGTGAGTAGCCCCATGGAACAATTCACATAAGGAATTAATGTTTTTAGCCAACAGTCAGTGAGGAACTGAAGACTGTCACTAGCTACATCAGTGAGAAGGAAAGGAGATTGTCCCCTAGCTGAGCTTTAAATTCACCAAAACTCTGAGTATCACCTGGATCGCAGTCCTTTGAGTAACCCTGAGTCAGGCACTGTGATTCAAACTGTGAGCTAATAAATGCTGCTTGTTTTAAGACATTATGTTTTTGGGTAATTTGTGATAGAACAATTTATAACTAATATAACTTGATTCATGGGTTTTACTATACAGAAAGGTAATAACTTGAACATTCTTGCACCTGTCTCCTGTTGCACATGTATAAGAGATTATTTAGGGGAACACAGAAAGGAGGAAAACTGCTGAGTTGTGAAGTATGTGAAAAGTCTAGTTTAGGAGTCAGTACCATGTACTTTCCAAAGCAGTTACACAAATTTACATTTTCACCGAAAAATATAAAATATAACAATAGGTCTACATCATTTTACTTTTCCCCACATAATGGGTGTCAAAGGGCATCTCTTCGTTGCCTGGATTTGCATTTCCCAAGTTACTGATGGTGTTTAACATCTTGACTTACGTATACAGGCATATTTGTTTCCTCTTCTGTTGTTTATTTATGTCTCTTAACCATTTTTTCTACTAGTTATATGAGCTTTTTAGATTAATTTGCAAGACTTATTAATAGCTTCTTGATAACCAATCTTTTATCATTTATGAGCATCAGAAATAATATTTTTGATATTTATTATTATTATTTTCCATTTATCTTACTGTATCTTTAGATAAATTAGAATGGCTGATTTCTGTCTTTCCTTTACAGTCAGTACCTTTGTGTTATGTTTAAGGAATTTTTACATATTACAGTTTGTAAAAGATACTAACCTAAATTTTCTAACGGAGGGTTTCCAGTTTAATTTTGACAATAAATTTGTTAATTTATCTGAGGGAGGGATCCAATTTAATATTATTTAAATATAAGTAGCAAAATTCTTGTAATTTCCTTTTATTGAAAAAGGCCTTATTGCTCCACTGATTTTTACATGGCTTCTTTGTCCATTTACCAAAATTCCATCATGTGTGGGCCTGGTTTCAAGCACTTATCCTACTGCATTCATCAATTTGTTGATAGATGCACTAACACCACATTGTCCTGCTAAATATAATTCCATATAAAATATACAGTAGGGCAAATCTTACTTTTCTTCTTCAGAATTTTCCTGAATAATTTGATCTTTTATTTTACATATATATTTAAAATCATCGTCACATTCCATGAAAATCTCTATTAGAGTCATTATTAGAATTATATTGAATCAATTTGATTTATATAGAATCAATTTTACATTAAATATTAACTTCATAAACTTGGCTTCTCATTAATTAGTATTATCTCTCTTAGATAATTAGCATTATCTAAGTTTTTAATTTCACTCACTAAAGTTCTATACCTTTCCACATTAAAATCTTGACTATCTCTTTTTTCTTTTTTTTTGAGACAGAGTTTCCCTCTATGGCCCAGGCTGGAGTGCAGTGGCATGATCTCTGCTCACTGCAAGCTCTGCCTCCCAGGTTCATGCCATTCTCCTGCCTCAGCCTCCCGAGTAGCTGGGACTACAGGCACCCGCCACCTCACCTGGCTAATTTTTTGTATTTTTAGTAGAGACGGGGTTTCACCGTGTTAGCCAGGATGGTCTCAATCTCCTGACCTCATGATCCGCCCGCCTCAGCCTCCCAAAGTGCTGGGATTACAGGCATGAGCCACCGCACCTGGCCAACTATCTCTTTTTATAGTCATAGGTAATTTTCATCCACTGTTCACCCTGGAAAATGTGTCTTTTTTTAAATTATTATTTTAGTGGTTTGCATTTACACTGAGTTTTCTTATTTAATTTTGTTTTCAATATCCATTTATTTTACCACTTTTCTTGGGACTAGTGCTGCCAAATGCTTAATTTCTTTGAAGTTAAAAAATAACATTTAAACATGTATATTGTTCAATTACTGTAGAGTAAGACAGTTTTAATTTTTAAAAAATTAATTGCATTAATTGAATAAAAATGAAAATTCACCATCTCAATCTTAAAACTAGGGAAAGTTTCATTTGTCTTATCTGAGTTCTTTTCTCAGAAAACCAACCATCAGGCCTCCCAGATATTATCAAGTAACTGACACTTACCAGATGTCTGCATCTGGACAATGAGAGGCCACAGTCCTCACCCATCATGATGACCTAACTGACCACCTGCTTCCTGTTGACTAACTACTCTTCCTTAGCCCTCCCTAATTGTTTTCCCAGACATGGTTACTTTTCGTTCCTGGTATATAAACTGTTAATTTTAGTCAGTTGAGGAGATTGATTTGAGACAGATCTCTCATCTCCGAGGTTGTAGCACCTGAATAAAGCCTTCTACCTTTGCATTACTATTGTCTTAGTGATTGGCTTTCTGGGCAGTCAGCAATTGGACTTAGACTGAACCCCTGGTGTTTCAGAAACAGATTGAGTTGTCCTGGTATATTGTAATTACAGTATGAAAATTTGAAATAATCATTGACATACAAAGTTTTGTTTCATCTGATTTAATGTCAACTCAATATGTCAACATTTGAAAACTAGATATATGGCTCCAAAACAATTGGAAGCTAAAATAAAACTGAAACCGACCCAAAAGTCCTGTGGACAGTTTTTTTTGGAAAAACACAGAAACTGACTCTTCTGGTCTTAAAGCTTGAAACTTAGATTTGTTTAATCTGAGTTCCTTCCTCAGGAAAGGATCCCCAGGCCTCTCAAAAAGGATTAAAGAACTGCAACTCACTAGATCATCCCATCTAGACAATGAGAGGCCAGGCCAAGCCTCATATTCATCATGAATGCTTCCTTACCCCTCCGGAGTTCCTGTTTTCTCACACATAGTTACATTACTTCCCTGGTATAAAAACTCCTAATTTTAGTTGTTTAGGGAGATGGATTTGAGACTGATCTCCCATTTCCTAGGCTGCAGCACCTGATTAAAACCTTCTTCCTTGGCAATAATCATAGTCTCAGTGATTGGCTTTCTGTGTGGTGAGCAGTGGGACCTAGACTGAACCTCTGGTGTTTCAGTAACAAAAGTAATAGACACTCAGAAATGTGATTGGGGTGAAATTACTCTGTATAGATACATGTACAAATTATTATTATTAAAATTTAAGATGAGTTTTTTCAGTGAAAATTATTCAAATTAATTAGACCTCCCTTTATCTGTTATAAAATGTTTAGTTTTAATTTAAATAGGTATTAATGGGAATTGATAGATTTGATGTGAATATTATGCAGTCTACAAAATAAACATGTTAAAATATATTAGTAACAACATGAAGTGAAATATTTGTGTATTCTGTGCTTTCTCTAAAAATCTATATTTCTAAAATTATAACTGCAACTTCTTCATGTATATTAGATTACTGGGAAGGAGAATGTAGTAATAATAAGACTCATTGATGTTTACAGGAAAAAAACCACTGCACCCTTAATTATTCTTCTTCATTTGTCTATAAAAATTATATTTATTCATTTAGATGTAATTTATTATTAGGTTTTTGTGACGTTTAACTAAAACCTCTATTGTATTATTTGCATTTAATAAAAGTGACGTTATTTTGAACAATGTAAATCTGCCAGGCATGGTGGCTCACACCTGGTAATCCCAGCACTCTTGGAGGCCCAGGTGGGCAGATCATGAGGTGAATGAGGTGAAGTGATCGAGACCATCCTGGCTAACACGGTGAAACCTGTCTCTACTGAAAATATAAGAAGTTGGTCGGGTGTGGTGGCGGGAGCCTGTAGTCCCAGCTACTCGGGAGGCTGAGGCAGGAGAATGGCATGAACCCAGGAAGTGGAGCTTGCAGTGAGCCGAGATGGCACCACTGCACTCCAGCCTGGGTGACAGAGCAAGACTCCATCAAAAAAAAAAAAAAATCCACTTAATATACAAAGATTGTTCAAATTGTAAGCAGATAACATCAAACAATTGTTTACTCTCCAGACATTTGAAATTTTCAATTGTCGTATTCTCTAATTCTGAAATAGTATGTTCTTTACTCAATCCAGTCAAATTCTTACATTGAAAAGACCTATCTTAAAACAGACTCCAAAACCTCACAAATATTCCCCCAATGATATTAAAGCTTTGACAAGGTAATACTATCCTTTACCGAAACATGCAGTAAACTGAGCTTTGATTTAGAAACATGTTTTGTTGGTGGTATTTGTGAGAAGACAGCATTTGACAAAAGCTTTCTCAATTTTATTTTCTATTACCATGTGTATAAAATATATTTGCAGACAAACAAAACTGCTTTAGCCTGTGTAATTCTGAGAGGTTATTAACAGGATTTTAGTATGATGTTACTCCTTGTGATACTCATGGCCAGTCCAAATCTGGAAGTATTTACGTATTATTATTATTTTTTTTTTTTTTTTGAGGCGGAGTATTGCTCTGTCTCCGAGGCTGGAGTGCAGTGGCGAGATCTCGGCTCACTGCAAGCTCCGCTTCCCGGGTTCACACCATTCTCCTGCCTCAGCCTCCGGAGTAGCTGGGACTACAGGCGCCCGCCACCACGCCCGGCTAATTTTTTGTATTTTTAGTAGAGACGGGGTTTCACTGTGTTAGCCAGGATGGTCTCGATCTCCTGACCTCGTGATCTGCCCGCTTCGGTCTCCCAAAGTGCTGGGATTACAGGGGTGAGCCACTGCGCCCGACCTAACGTATTTGTTTGTACATTAGTTTGATTTATATGTTGAGCTTCAAATCAAGGACTATAGTTGGATAATATTTTACTATTTTTTTATTGTGCTTATGAAGTCTGAGGTCTAGGGAATACACCTTTTTTTCCAAGGTCATGAGACAAGTAAAGAAAAAAATAAGGACTCAATTCCAGGTGTTTAGACAACTGCATCAGTTGGAGTTTCTCTCAAGCAGGTGGTAGGCACTATTTTCCATCTGTGGAATTAGTCACCCACAAAATTAATTTTCTCCATTTAAAATATTTAATCATGAAGAACAGAGAGTTGTTACACAGATAAAATTTAAGAATCCTCACTTATAAATTAAAATGTCTGATCCAAAGATAACACGTCACTTCTGATGTTACTTGTAATGAGAAATCTGATACTTCTGTTGACTTTAACTCTCCATTAAATATTTAATAATAAGAGAAATAAATCCATAGGTTTTATCTATTTAATTTTGAACTTGAGGTAATTCTGTTATTGGTTGTTGGATTCCTGTTAATTCAAAACACATTGCAAAGTTGTGTTGTGCTCAATCAAGTTTGACTCTATCATTTGTCCACAAAAAGTCATGTTTAATATTTTGCTAAAATCAACTCCTTAGGAAATAATCATTTCTGGTTAAAAGAAAAATACAATCTTGTTAGGAAACAGCAAAAACCACTTCAATTATGAATTGCAGCAGTCTGCCTGACACATTTCATGAAATTCTACAGCAATTACTCATGGTAACTGTTAAATGAAGGGGAAAGAAAACTAATACTAAATTTATTTTTAATTATTAAAAACAACAAAAAGTGATTTATTTCTGACAAAGTGAGCTGAGATAATGAATATACCACCTGTATATGGAAGGGGAGGGATTAAAAATGAATGAATATTGTGATCTTTAACGTTTTTTTAATTTATATTGCATGAGTCAGAGCATTCCCCCTTGTATTTTAGTTTCCTTATGTGTGGTGTTACAAAGGCATCATCTGGGACTTGATGGAAACATAAAATGTAGCCACCCAGACAGGAAGATTACTCAACCCAAGGCCTCTCTAGTACATGAGTGTACTGTTACAGTTGAGTTAGTTAAAAATAATTTATATCCTTGAATGAGGGTCTAAGGAAATAAGGCCACTCCTATTACCCATTATTGGGACAACTTGGAAAATAACTGAAGATAAATTATAATCAGTAATGAAAAGATGTATTTAGTGACAATATTGAGCAAGATAAAAACTCCCTTTAAAGATAGCCAAACATTTAAAAATAAGTTCTTGCTACTGAACCAGAGTGTGAGCACTTTAAAGGACTTCACTCTTTAAAGAAGTTTCCTACATTTAAAAAATTTCTTCACTGTGTTCAAATTATACAGACAAATTATTTCTGGAGGACAAAGGGCATGCTTCTTGCTTCAGATTTTTCTAATTGTGGTTACAGAGTATCACAACACAATAGGTAGCACTCTAAGTTACAATATGTTTGAGTTTTAAAATCACATTATGTTCCAATAATTTTCCCAGCAAAGCATTTTCCTCTACCTCCCAGGAAGGAGAGATGACTTTTCCTTGACTAATGCAGTAGACCTCCTAATAAGCAGTACAGACCACACTGGTTAATTTTAAAAATCATAAATAAATAAAGAAACCGCACACAGCGTATCAGGGGTACACAGAGGAGTGGTTGGTTGCCCAGAGGACCAGACTTAGAAAACAAATGGGAGAAAAAGTAGCTCTGAAAGGACTTCTTGTGAAACACAACCTTAAAATATGCATGAATACACATATACACACATGTGTCAGTCATGTTCACATGCATACGGATACATGTTGAGCTTCTGTGTCATTGATTATTTTATGTAATGGGAGTTACAGTATATAATCTTTAATTTATTCTATTCTTCTCACTCCATGATACTTATGAACATTCTTTATATCCAGGTCTTCTGATATAGCTCTAATATTTTCTAATATTTTCTTATTCCAATGGCTATATAATATTTCATATGCCATAATTTATTAATCCACTTTCCTTTAGATGAGTACTCACTTGTTTTTTAGACTCTACTATATTACAATAAAATCCTTGTTTCTCGAGTGCTAGGATGGTCTTTTGAGGGCAGAATCGTTTAAATGGATGAGGACAGGCTGCCCCTGGGAACGTGTGGCTTGCTAGCCGACGTCCCTTGGGGATTCTGCTTGCCCTTTTCAGGCACAGTGCTCTTCACTTGCCTCAGTTGTGGCTGAATGAGCCCAGGTGTAGCTTAGGCTGCAATCCGATATGAAGATTGCAAATGGGGAGCCCTGGCAGTGTCCACGTGGTGCTAACTCTGCAGGCTTACAGTATAAAGAGCTGTGGAGGATGGCTGCCTCCACCCAGATTTCAAAGGGTGCTACAGAGAACCTCGGGCCAAGACTAGAGACCTGCCCTAAGGATGGAGCTTCTGCAGAGAGCACTCACTAGGACAATGCTCAGTGAAACTGTGGGGTCCAGGGTATCACCGAGAGTCTCCACTAACGCAATGTCTAGGGCCACCCTTGAGACTCCAGAACTGTGGACACATCAGTGTGCAGTGTCAGCCTTGGAGACCTGCCAACAAGCAATTTTAATGTGTAAGAGCTGAAGCCTGGGCTGTGCCCATCAAACCTATGGTATTGGGGCTGCCAGAGTTTTGGGGACAAATCCCCACCTCTGTGTCCAGAAAGCAGAAGCTGGAGCCAAAAGACATTATTCTTAAGCCTTAAGATCCAGTGTGGGTAACCCTGTCGGGTTTTAGACTTACTTGGAACCAGTTTTTTTCTTCTTCTTCGTCTTCATCTTTGTCTTCATCTTCTTCTCCTTCTTCTTCTTCCTCATCCCCTTTTTCCTCTTCCTCTTCTCCCTCTTCCTCCTCCTCTTTCTCTTCCTTCTCTTCCTCCCCTTCTGCCTCTTCTTCTTCCTCCTCTTGCTCTTCTTCTTCCTCTTCCTCTTCTTCTTTCTTCTTTCTTCTTTCTTCTTCTTCTTGATGGAGTTTCACCCTTGTCTCCCAGGCTGGAGTGCAATGGCACGATCTCAGCTCACTGCAACCTCTACCTCCCAGGTTCAAGCGATTCTCCTGCCTCAGCCTCCTGAGTAGTTGGGATTACAGGCACCCATCACCACGCCTGACTAATTTTTATATTTTTAGTAGAGATGGGGATTCACCATGTTGGTCAGGCTGGTCTTGAACTCCTGACCTCAGGTGATCCACCTGCATCGGCCTCCCAAAGTTCTGGGATTACAATTACAGGGGTGAGCCACCACGCCTGGCCTCTTATTTCTTCTTTTAGGAATGGAAACGTCTGTCCTATGCCTGCCCCATCATTGTATTTTGGAAGTACATAACTTGTTTGATTACATAGGCTCAGAGCTGGAGGACAATTTGCCTAAGGATGTATCCTGTGTTGATACTCACCTATATCTGATTCTGAGACTCCAGACTTTAGACATTAGAGCTGATGTTGGAATGAGTTAAGACATTCTGAGAATATTGAGATGGGATGAATTGCTTATATAATGTATTTTGCATGTGAGGAAGACACGAATTTTGGTGGGCCAAGGGTGGAATGATATGGTTTGAATGTATGCCCTTTAAAATTCATAAGTTATTGGCCCTGCACAGTGGCTCACATCTGTAATCCCAGCATTTTGGGAGGCCGAGTGGGTGGATCACTTGAGACCAGGAGTTCAAGACCAACCTGGCCAACATGGTGAAACCCCATCTCTACTAAAAATACAAAAAATTGCCAGGTGTGGTGGCATGGACTTGTAATCCCAGCTACTCGGGAGGCTGAGGCAGAATTGCTTGAACTCGGGAGGCAGAGGTTGCAGTGAGCCGAGACGGTGCCACTGCACTCCAGCCTGGGTGACAGAGCAAGACTCTATCTCAAAAAAAAATAAAAAATAAAAATAAAAGAAAAGAAAAGAAAAAGAAAGAAAAACAATTTTAAAAAATAAAATTCAGGTGTTATTAATGTGATGCACTAAGAGGTGGGGACTTTAAGAGGTGATAGGCCACTAGGATTCTTTCCTCATTAATATTATTCGTAATACCTGAATTTTCAAGGGGACACAGTTAAACCATAGCAGTTGATGAAAACTTAAGTCACTGAGGCAGTTGAGCTAGTAAAAATAGCAGTGTTGTGAGAATCAGAGGACCAGAGAGGCCAGCGGGTGGAACAGGAGAATTTTATTTAAGTGGCCACTGGCCCAGCAGATTGACATCCAAAGGCTAGGCCCTGAACAAAGACAGGGCTTGACTTTTATACATGCATCTGACAGGGGGTGGGCCAGGTTTGTGGTGCAAAACCTGTAAGGCGGGCAAGCGAGCTTATAGAAGCAGAACAAAAGCAGTTAATCATACAGTGACAGGTTTTGCCACTCAGGCATGTCTTGTGACCTTGCAGCCACATCGAAGGAATAACAGGAACTTACAAAATTTGGAAATTGAGTAATGGTAAGGGGATTGGAGATAGTAAAGGAATTTGTTTTTCTTAACCTTGCTCTGAGGGGGTGTTGGGAGAGTTCTGGAGCTTGTTCCTTTGGGCTCTCGCTGTCCAGATAGTGTTATCAAGGCTTTGTCGAGGTCCTGCCTATTGCTGGCCTTGTAGTGAGTCAGCTAAGTACAGGAAAACTTGCTTTTATCTTTTTAAAAATTTCTGCTTCAGCAGGATATATTTTAATCCATTTTATCTCAATCCCAGTACTGTAGCCATTTCAACTGAATAATTATTTGTTCAGAGGAACTATCCTGCATATTATAGGACGATTAGCAACATTCCTGGCCTCTACCCACTAGATAACAGTAGCAGCCCCCGTCCGGTCACAACACACCAAAATGTCTCTAAACATTTCCAAAGTTCCCCTGGGGAGCAATATTTTCCTCAGGAAAGAAATGCTAGATTATTTAATATCAAAATATTTTAAAAACCCCAGAGTTTTAAAATTTGACCTGAGATTGTTAAGACTGTCTAACTCAAAACTTGTAGTAGGTTCAAGATTATATTTGTGTTATTTTTTGCTAATAGCTCATTAAAAGACAATCTCATAACAATATATATCTCTTGAAACAGGAAAGTATAACAAACAGGTAATACTACTGCATAGATTTTTTTATGCATTTTTATTCTCAGCCATATTTTTATTTCTTTCTCTGTGAGGTATTTGTAGAAAAGATTCTGTTTTAAAAGCAAAATCACAAGCATGAATAATTCGAGCAGGTTTGACTTGAAAGATTTCCAAGTCTGAAGGATTTATAGTTAGAAAAGTAGAGGAGTAGTAACTCTGGAGTCTATCATAAGCAGAATTTTAATAAAACTTGGCAATGTATCTTGCCAAATACCTGAAGGTCTCCATTCTATTGTAAGGTGGAGACTCCATACATAGATTTACACAGTGAAACATTGATGATGAAGGCTGGATTTAAATGAGAGTGCTTTGTACCATAGTTTATTTTGTTATATTTAAAAGGTATGCAAAAACCAATGTAAATATTACATATATGTGTGTGTGTCTGTGCACGTGTGTATATGTTTATATGAATCACACAGAGAATCTTGATATAATTATCTTTGAATACCCTTATATATGCCATCAATCAAACAGCAACAGTTTTTGAAGGCCTATTATGTTTAGATAATTATGATAACTACCGTTGGGACAGGAAGAATGAAGATCCAGGAAGTGAGATTATAGATTTTGCTCTCAAATTTCTTATATAATATCAAGGCTATGGTAAATGTGTCTAAAGAAATTATATACTGGCCTTTGCCATTAGTTTTCTTTTTTTTTTTTTTTTTATTTTGAGATAGTCTCTCTCTATCGCCCAGGCTGGCATGCAGTGGCGTGATCTCGGCTCACTGCACCCTCCACCTCCTGGGTTCAAGAGATTCTCCTGCCTCAGCTTCCGAGTAGCTGGTACTACAGGTGCATGCCACCACACCCAGCTAATTATTTTTTATTTTTTATTTTTAGTAGAGATGGGATTTCACCATGTTGGCCAGGCTGATCTCGAACTCCTGACCTCAGGTGATCTACCCACCTCGGCTTCCCAAAGTGCTGGGATTACAGGAGTGAGCCACCACGCCCAGCTGCCATTAGTTTTCTAATAAGGGCCACCCAAAATTCTCAAAGAAAACCAATATAGGGTCTTTTTATACTTATAATAAGTGAATATTGCTTAGGAAATAAATGTGACCATAACACATGATCTGTTACATGAATCTGAAATTTCAGTTTTATTATTTCCAAATCATTTGACTTGTCAAGTTTAAGCATTCTCTTACTTTACAATTGTATTCTCTATCATAATAAATGTAAGCAGTTGGTTAAGTTCGATTATATATGCATTTATATTATCTATATCAGATTAATTTTCTAGTTTCTTGTATCTACAGAAAATTGTTTAGCATGTACAGTCAGGTTTTAAACAGTGCCATCTTTTAATAAATTCAAATAAACAAGTTTGCTCACAAGTAAACTTAACATCTTTTGGGTGTGGGATATATCTTCTTTGTTAGATTAACTAGAGGTTTAATTAATATATGAATTAAAACCTAAATAAAGTACTTGTTAGATGATTGTAGGATTTCTATTGTCTATTACAAAAGTTTCAAATTTGTATATATAAAATGTTTCAAATGCATTGAATAAGTAATTTAAATAAGACAACAGAGATGTTTTAAATGACTTAATTATTTGAGAAAAAGATCAAATGACCAGGGAATAAGATAATACATGAAAAATTGGCTTTCATTTCAAAATGTCATCTGGCTTTTGTCTGGGAGCCCCCAGCATATCCTTTCACATGATTTTATATGCAGACAACATAAAAGACGAAAACTCACATGACAAACCTAAACTAAGACTAGTTATAAACCTATCACTAAAATTCAGCAGGGCACATTGGGTAGTCCACCTGTATTACGCACTGATTAAAATGACCTGTTAGAAACTAGGAAGTGGTCCATTCCACCTTCCTTTCTGTTCACCATCTGGATTAGAAACACAAAGTTTTAACAAAAGACAAAGCCCTGGTACCTACTCCTGAACCAAATGGCCCTGGCTACTAGCGAATCGTCTCCCTTATCTCCTTGTACATGTGTATCCCAGTGAAAGAGAGCTATGTCTGAAAACTTGTAGGAAAGGATGTACACAGGTCCATCTAGGACTGTGGATGTATCAAAATCTGGGTAGTGTAATTTTTATAGCTACCAACAGCCAGAAAGGAAGCATGATGAGAATTGTGATGACATTAATTATTCATTTATTTATTAGTTCCGGGCTAAGCAATAGAGAAATCTGTACTTGGGACAAACAGAATTGCATTAGATCAAAGACTGTTATAGAAACTTGGAACTGGCATAAAGTCTTTAGGTATCTGCCTGCCATCCTTCTAAATCTAATAAACAGATTTGATCACTGTTTACTGATCAGAGTTCTGCCAAGGGCAATAATTACACCTGTTTATTACACAGAATTAATTCAGAGGGCCTATTTTATTGAATGATAAGAAAACAGAAAAAAATCCAACAATATAACACTTCTGAAAAATCAATATAGAAAAGAATAATGGCATGTCACCATAAATACATTAAGTTGGAACAGATGACTAAAAATAATTTACTACAAGAATTTCAAAACATTTAAAAAGTTTTTGGTATAAAATCAAAATATGTGATGGCATGGCCTTTGTAGAAAATCATAAGTTAAGGCCAGGCATGGTGGCTCACACCTGTAATCCCAGCACTTTGGGAGACCGAGGTGGGCGGATCACGAGGTCAGGAGATCGAGACCATCCTGACTAACATGGTGAAACCCCGTCTCTACTAAAAATACAAAAAATTAGCCAGGTGTGGTGGCGGGCGCCTGTAGTCCCAGCTACTCCAGAGGCTGAGGCAGGAGAATGGCGTGAACCCGGGAGGCGGAGCTTGCAGTGAGCCAAGATCGTGCCACTGCACTCCAGCCTGGGCGACAGAGCCAGATTGTGTCTCAAAAAATAAATAAATAAATAAATAAAAAATCATAAGTTAAAAGCAAGGTGATAGGCAAACTAAACTGATTGAAATTAAAAAAAGATACGTAAGATAAAGAAGAATACCAAGGAAATTACACACACTAAAATCAAAATATTAAAATCTCTTTTTAATATAGAAAGAGAAGAGCTGACATTTAAATAATTATGTCTTGACTTAGGACAAGAGGAAATACTCCAGTCTTTCTCTGAGGATTTTCATTTAAAAATTCATAGTTAAAATGAGAGAGTGCTTGATATTACAAAAATTAAACTAAGACCATCATAATCATTATCATCAGCAGTATCACCAAAATTTTCCTACAAAGGGTTATTCACTTCTACGGAAAAACAATGACAAGAGACCTATATCTTGATAGATTCCTATGTTTTAAGAAGTAATTATTATAAAGGCAAATGTCTTTGGATAACTAGGCATTAAAAAAAGAAGTTGCTTACAAAGGAAAAAAAAAGACTTCAGCTGGTAAGACTTCTGATTATTACTCCATGTTAGGACATAGAAAAATATTTGCAGCAAAAACATGGGGAAGGAGTGTTTCTGTGCCAATACTGTTTCTTTTTCTTTTTTTTCTTTTTTTTTTTTTTTTGAGACGGAGTCTCACTCTGTTGCCCAGGCTGGAGTGCAGTGGTGCAATCTCGGTTCACTGCAACCTCCACCTCCTGGGTTCAAGCGATTCTCCTGCCTCAGCCTCCTGAGTAGCTGGGACTACAGGAACATGCCACCATGCCCGGCTAACTTTTTTTTGTATTTTTTAGTTGAGATGAGGTTTCACCATATTGACCAGGCTGGTCTCAAACTCCTCAACTTGTGATCTGCCCACTATATTGACCAGGCTGGTCTCAAACTCCTCACCTTGTGATCTGCCCACCTAGGCCTCCCAAAGTTCTGGGATTACAGGTGTGAGCCACTGCGCCCAGCCATGTGTCAATAATTTTTCATCCGGTAATGTTTACTTTCACGTATGAAATGTACAGAGGTGAATTTTCCAGATGGGAAAAAATGTGCTCTTCATGAAAATAAATACTCAAGGAAGTGAAGTAACAAAATATGTATGAAATAATAATGAAAAAATTATGAAATAAGTATTGCAGGACTTCATTCATTAATATTGAACTAGAAACTTAAGAATAGACTTGAATCATGCACTATAAATTGGATACTATAAACCCAGTGCTAGAGGGTGGCTTTCTGGTGTTTTCCTTAGCTCTTTCTGTCCACACCCTATTTATATTTTTCTCTAGGACAAGGTATGCCCATCTATGTAGAGAAAAATATTTCCATCATCTACATATGGCCCAGCAGTCACATCTCTTGAAACATCCTGATGACTTTTCCCTTTTCTTCAGTATATTGATTAATATGCTGTTACAAGGCCGGGTGTGGTACCACAGCTCAAGTCTGTAATCCCAGCACTTTCAGAGGCCGAGGCGGGTTGATCATGAGGTCAAGAGTTCAAGACCAGCATGGTCAACATGGCAAAACCCTGTCTCTACTAAAAATACAAAAATTAGCTGGGCGTGGTGGCAGGCACCTGTAATCCCAGCTACCCGGGAGGCTGAGGCAGGAGAATCACATGAACCGGGAGGTGGAGGTTGCAGTGAGCTGAGATTGTGCCATTGCACTCCAGCCTGGTCAACAAGAGCAAGAGTCTATCTAAAAAAGAAAAAAAAAAAAAAGAAATGCTGTTACAGTCTGTATTTGGGTTTTCCAGAGAAAATAGAACTCTATATCTAGATATAGGATGAGTATATATAAAATATGTCATCCTATATCTAGGATATCTATATATCTATTTCTATATCATCCTATATCTAGAGATATATTTGATATCCTATATCTAGACATATACTTGATATCCTATATCTAGAGATATACTAGATATCCTATATCTAGTGGGGGCTGGCAGGTCTGAAATTTGCAGTGCAGGCCAACAAGCTGGAAATTCTGGCAGGGGTTGCTATTGCAGTCTTGAGTTCTAGGGCAGTCTGGAGGCAGAATTCGTTCCTGTTCTGAACGGAATGGGCCCCTCGTTCTTTTAAGGCATTCAAATGATTGGATGAGGCCTACCCGCATTATGAAGGGTAATCTGTTTTACTCAGAGTGTATCTATTTAAATGTTAATCACATCTAAAAAGTACCTTCACTGCAACATCCTATTATTTAGCCAAACAACTGAACACCGTAGCCTAGCCAAATTGATACACGCAATTAACCATCACACAGTCACTTAATTCATGTGGTCGTTGTGAGACAGCCAAGTATAAAGAGGTCCCTGGAGAACCTGTGACCAGCCTGCACACTGGGAGAAATGGGTGGAGCCATGGGAAGTTCTTGCCCTTTGCAGCAGGGAGGAGTCTGGCCCCTCCTGTTCCGGGGTGGTACTTGGGATTCAGTCTGTGAGGCAGGAAGTCTCCTAGCAGGAGTCTCGCTTTGCTGAGAGTCCCTGTTTCCGTTTTTTTTTTTTTTTTTTGCCTTTGCCCTTTTCACCCAATAAACCCTGCTCTTCTCAGACTTCAAATTGTCTGTGAGCCTAATTTTTCATGGTCATGTGACGAGACCCCAGCTTTTAATTGAACTAAGGAGAGAGTTCTAAAACAATTGTAAGCTTGATGAAGGCAGGCACTGGGCCGGTTTGTTTTTTAACCTGTTTTACCTCTACATTTACACTATCAGCATAATATACTATAAATAAATATATGCTGATTAATATATTTTCAATGGTACAATTTAAACTAAATATTATTTTTAAAACCACACTCTCTCTAGCTTTGTTACTAAGAGCAAAGCAAGTCACATACAGTAAGGTTTAGTCTTATTGTAAAAGAAAAATTTCAGACAACATAAATTTAACAGAATTTACGTGGAAAAAAAAGAAAGATTCATGAATCACACATTACACAGAATCTGAAAAGATTCAGAGAGCTCTGCTTTGCCACATGGGCAGTGAGTATTTATAGACAGAACATGGGAGTAAGTATAGAAATAGCTTGATTGGTTAAAGCTAGGTATATGCCTTATTTGGAAATGGTCTGATCAGTTGGCTGCCTGTGATTGGCTGAGACCTGGCTATCTGTTACATAAATTGAGACTCCTAAGTTAGGTATTGATGTGTTCATGTAGTTGTATTTAATTACACAGAAACAAATTACAGAGACAGCCTCAGGCCAATGGTTTCTTGCTTATGTAATTTAACACTACATTTAGAAAATTTATTTATCCATGCACACACAATTCATCCATCTATCTATCATCTATCTATCTATCTATCTATCATCTATCTATCTATCTATCTATCTTTGTATCTATCTATCATCTTTCTATCCCAACATTTCAGTTTGTCATTCTTATTCTCAAACCTTTGTCCTGAGCTGTTAGCATTCTGCAGTATCTTTCAATTTGCTGGTGCACCTGGCAGCAAGATTACATTGGTTTTCATGGAATGGAATTGAAGGAATGAGCAAATATATGTAATATGCAGTATTAGGCTCAGCAAAAACAGGAATTAGTTTAAGAAGAATAAGAAGGAAAGAGTATTGGCCGGGCGCAGTGGATCAAGCCTGTAATCCCAGCACTTTGGGAGGCCGAGGCGGGCGGATCACGAGGTCAGGAGATGGAGACCATCCTGGCTAACACGGTGAAACCCCGTCTCTACTAAAAATACAAAAAAATTAGCTGGGCGTGTGGCGGGCACCTGTACTCCCAGCACTCGGGAGACTGAGGCAGGAGAATGGCGTGAACTCGGGAGGCGGAGCTTGCAGTGAGCCGAGATCGCGCCACTGCACTCTAGCCTGGGCGACAGAGCGAGACTCAGTCTAAAAAAAAAAAAAAAAAAAAAAAGGAAAGAGTATTAAGAATATGACATCTGAGAGGTCATAACAACAGAATTAAAAAGTTCAATTTTTGAGCCTCCTTTTACCCCTTATGTTTATAGTGAATATATGAATCAAAGCTTTTAGAAAAAAATGTTTTAACTTTCTATCCCCCTTTCTGAGAATTAATTTGCTAGATTTATTTCCTAGATTGATATGTCTCCTCCATAAGATAAAAATAAACTGAGTATGTATATGTGTAAGTAATGTTGCTGAGAAATGTATTTTTAACACGATAGAATCAGAAATGCCAGAGAGGACTTCACTAAACCAAGAGAGAATTAAGGTTTAAATAGTGCTTTGTCCTCTTTTGGATGAGAAGCTCTAGATCAGCATTGTCTAATAGAACTTTCTATAGTCATGGAATGTTCTATAACTATGATGTTTAATATGATAGCTTATAGCCATCCATGGCAATGGAGAATTTGGAAAGTGGCTTGGAGATACTGAGAGACTAAATTTTAAGTTAAATTACATTAATTGATTTTATCATTTAAATTTAAATAGAGAAATGTAACTCATGGCATTTTATTTGACATGTCAGCTTAAATGAAACAAAAATGGACATACATACTATAATAACATATGCATGTACCAGATTACTGTAATAAGAGCTTCAGTGACTTAATTCCTTTACTAAAAACAGCCCTGATCTGTAATAGCCAATAAATATATAATTCTTGATATCTACTAATATGTTAAACTGATTTTTTAAATGGAAGCTGTTAAGGCAATTATAGTTAAACTGAAAAAACAAAACTATAAAATGATTCTCAAAAATTTTTGATATGAAATATTGTAGTGCCAGGCTTAATTGCTTATGCCTGTAATCTCTGTACTTTGGGAAGCCAAAGTGGGAGGATGACTTGAGTCCAGGAGTTTGAGGTTACAGTATGCTATGATTTGCACCACTGCACTTCAGTCTGGGCAACTGAGCAAGACCTTGTCCCCCACTCCCAAAAAGAAAAAATCTATGACAAACCCACAGTCAACATCATACTGAATGGCAGAAGCTGGAAGTATTCCCTTTAAGAACAGGAACATACAAGTATGCCCTCTCTCACCACTCCTAGTCAACATAGTACTAAAAGTCCTATCCAGAGCAGTCAGGCAAGAGAAAGAAAAAAAAGGCTTCTGTATTAGTCCATTTTCACATTGCTGGTAAAGACATACCTGAGACTGGTTAATTTATAAAGAAAAAGAGATTTAATGGACTCGCAGTTCCACGTGGCTGAGGAAGCATCACACTCATGACAGAAGGCAAAAGGGACATCTTACATGGCAGCAGACAAGAGAGAATGAGAGAACCAAGCAAAAGGGGCTTCACCTTATCAAACCATCAGATCTCGTGAGTCTTATTCACTAACAGAAGAGCAATATGGGAGAACCTGCGCCCATGATTCAATTGTCTCCCACTAGCTCCCTCCCATAACATGGGAGGAATTATGGGAGCTACAATTCAAGATGAGATTTGGGTGGGGACACAGCCAAACCATGTCAGCATCCAAAAAACGAAATAAGTCAAATTACCTCTCATTGCTGATTATATAATTCTGTATGTAGAAATCTCTAAAGACTCCACAATCAGAGCCTAGTCCTGTCTTTTATGGGAGGATATTAATTATTGATTCAATTTTTAAAATGTGTACAAGGATATCCATGTTTTCTTTTTCTTCTTACGTGAAGTTTAGCAGTTTCTCTTTAAATAAATTGATCTATTTCATTTAAGATACCAAATTTTGGACATATATTAGTGTTCCTTTATCATTATTTTAATGTCTGCAGGATCAAGTAGTGATGACTCTTTTCATTTCTTGTTTGTAGTTTGTATCTTTACTCTTTTATGTTGATTAGATTTGCTACAGATTTATCAATTTTATCTTTTTAAGAAAACATATTTTAGTTTCTTTATATTCTCTATTTTTTCTTGTTTCTGTCTTAATTTTTATTTCTTCTCTTCTGCTTGTTTTCATCTTCATTTGCTCTTTTTTGCTAGGATTGTTTTTCAATTGCAATAAATTTCATGTAATAAAATATTACCAATATAAATATAACAATTATTTATACTGGTATGTTTTCTCTTGATAAAAATTGTTTAATTCTTATACAATTGTATTTTAAATTTAGCCAAAGTTTATACTTCATATTTTTTATTGGTCATTTCAAATTATTTTAGTCACGTCTTCTTTCCCACAACTACCAAACATTCTATACCCTTCTGAAACAAATTATGCTGAATATTTTCTGTCCTTTTCAATATGTAGTGCTAAATAAAGAATTTCAGTCCTTTATTGACTGGTCTGTCTAGACCTTTGCCTTATTACTCAAATTTGTCTTCAACAGTTCTGCCAAAGGTTATGCTTACCATGCATTTTTAAATTGCTTATTCTTAATAGAACTCTCTAGACTCTGCCACACAAAGGTTACCTAAATGTGGCATTCTTTGACATGTTATTTAAGATATTTATTGATGTGAAATTTAAAATATATGTTCATGATATATGGTATTTACTGGCATTCATTTGTAATATATTCCAACTATTTCACCATTGCTTTCCACTATTGTGTACCACACATTATTCAGCTACAATGAGCCAATTACATTTAACAAACTTGACCATTTTCACCTCTGTGACATTTCACATTACCCTTGGCACAAATCTCTTCTATTCTCTGCTTGTCGGTCTGCTGAATTTTATTGCTGAAAAATCAGCTCAAATATCTCCTCATTGGTAAACCATTCCTTAATCACTTTTTTTTGGGGGGGTGGTGAATATGGTGTTCTACTTCCCTGATACCCAAAAATAATTTTAGAATTTAACTTAGTAAGAAAATAGTCTCTTGTTTTGCTCCTCCTGCCTCAGGTCATAACTTCATTGAGGGAATATAATCTGTTTAGCATTTGAATAATACTACCACTTAGCATGTGTTGACTATTTTCACTTAAAACAATAATGAGGTGTGTAGAAGAAACATTTCTCCTAAACTCTTACTTGTTCACTTTTACAAGTGTGTCAGAATTGTAAAGGAGGAAATACTCCTAGAGCAACCTCAGTGGAGCAACTGGGTGAAAATATCAATTTCGAAATTTGGTCTTTCAGTAATGATGATTAAATTAGGAAAATAGCCTTGTTTTCTGTCTTTTTCCCATCATCTTTCTCCCTTTCTGTCTTTTTCCCATTATCATTTCTGAAGTGTGGGGACAATTTAAGTGGTAATTTGGGGGCGTATATTATCACCTGTATTTGAAGTGGGATATCCCATACATTTCCTCAGTTATCTGTTACTCAGACAGTGGAATTCTTCCAGGTTATAACAGCCCGATACAAATAATCGTTATAATATTTATTTATTTATTTATTTATTTATTTATTTATTTATTTAGAGATGGAGTCTCCTTCTGTTGCCCGGCTGGAGTGCAGTGGCATGATCTCAGCTCACTGCAATCTCTGCTTCCGGGTTTGAGCAATTCCCCTGCCTCAGCCTCCCTAGTAGCTGGGATTACAGGTGCACACCGCCACACCCAGCAGATTTTTTGTATTTTAGTAGAGAAGGGGTTTCACCATGTTGGCCAGGATGGTCTCGGTCTCCTGACCTCGTGATCTGCCCACCTCGGCCTCCCAAAGTGCTAGGATTATAGGCGTGAGCCAGCCTGCCTGGCCAATTGTATTTTATCATTACATGGGATGTATACACAAGTTCCAGAAAGATTCTTCTACTTTCCATCAATCTTTTAAAGTTCCTGATCAGTATAGACTGAAAATCTATTAACAGTCACAATGTATCCATTACAGATGTTATGAAAGTTCAGTTTATACTAGGAAAGGAAGCACATTGACTTCATTGCACACTAACTTGGAAATTATGGCTGTGGATTTATTCCTGAGAGAGGACACAGGGAAGAGAAGTAAACACATGGACCCTGGCAAGTATTGAGACAGCCAGGTGGGAAGGGGTCCCCAAAGAAACTCCAACCAGCCAGCCTGCTCACTGGGAGGAGTGAGCACTGGGGTGGAGCCACAGAAGTTCATGCTGTTTGCAGTGGGGAAGAGCCTGGCCCCTCCTCTTCCTAAGTGGGACCTGAGATTCCATCTGCAAGGTGGGAAGCACACTAGCAGAACTCTGGTCTTGCAGAGAGTCCCTGTTTCCTTTTTTTTTTTTTTTTTCCATTTTGCCCAATGAATTCCATTTTTCTCCCCCTTCAAATCATCTGTGAGCCTAATTTTTTATGGCCGTGTGACAAGGACCCAGCTTTCAGCTGAACTAAGGAGGAAAGTCCTACAACAGTATGGGTATGAGACACTAAGGGTTACTGAGTAATAAATGACAGTCAGGAAAAGAGAAATCAACATTGTAATTTCAGTGGTCAATATGTCAGACAAATCAGGATGAGAAGAAGAAACAGTGCAGATTATGTTTTTTCCTAATAGAGTGTATTTTTTTTCTCCTTGTTCTTCATTGCTTCTTTTTACCAAGTACACAAATGAGGATAAAATATAAGAGAAAAAGTGAACTGAAGTCATCAACAGTCTAAGTTCAAAGTATAAGGAAAAGGTTCAAAGCTTTTTGTTGTTTTTCTTTTACAGCAATAACTTAGTAATTCTTTAAATATGTTCTGCACTTGACAACACAGCACATATCTCTAGTTATTTAAAAAATACAGAATTAGTATGTGGTCATTTGTACCTCATTATATTATTCATTAGTGCCTGTCCTTTAAATTAAAAGCCATATAATTACTGTTGCCATTTAATGAAGTTACATAATGTTAGTCATTCAATTAATGTACTTTCTGTTAAACTCACCAGGAGTTCAGCGGAAAGTATTTTGTCTCATTTATCTGATAGAACACATGGTGGTAAATGGACAACTGTGAGGTATGTAACTCAATGACCCTCTGCGTGGTCAATGACTTATTCATTTCAGTGAAAAATATTAGTTTAAATGGATATTAAGTCCCATGGAAAGGGGGAAGGCTTGTAAATTTCTTCAGCGATGACATAAGACTTTCTATCACGACACAGACATTGCCTGACTTACCAACTGGTCCATGAGATAAGAGTTGTCTCTATTAATTCAAGAGTCACCACAGTGTAATTTCTGAAAGAAAAAAAAGTTCTTTTTTTACATATATATTTCTGATTACTTCTATTTAAACTCAGTTTCCTATACCTACCACATACAATACACATTCTAGAGATAATAAATTAAACCGTTCTTTTGTTACATGATAAATCACTCTCATGCTTCAAAACATAGGTCACCCATTGCCATTTGATAAAGTCTTCATAATAAAGTCATCCCCATGAATGTAATTAAAGTTTCTTCTCTTGTGCATTTGTTTTGCCTGGCTTAGGAAAAAAAATAAGTGCATTTATTAATAAGAAAAATAGACTAAGAAGGTTCCTAAAATTTCCTGACCCTTTTAGTTAATGTTTGACCATGAGATTTGCTTGAGTTGATGAAATGTGAATGGATATACTAAGTATTACTTCCATGCAAATGACTTAAGAGTTGAGGGGCTATTTGTCTTGCTCTCACTTTTGTTCTTGTGCTCGCTCTCATTTTCTACTGCTAGGGTAATTATAGAAACACGAGTCAAGAGGAAACTCCACTAGGCTGGTTCCCTGATGGATTAAAATGAACAGAACCAAATATCCAACTGGTACTAAATGCATAGTATGAGTGAGAAATAAATTTAGCACTACTGGGGCACTCAGATTTTGGGATCATTTGTTAGGGAAACCTAATTTTGTGCAGCCAGACTACCAAATGCATTTTTATAACCCCACCCTACCTAGCTCACATCCTGTTTTACTTTTCTCTTTAGCACTTAACATTTTCCAAAACCTAATGCATTTTTCTTATTAAAATATATTTTGTTGATTTGTTGTTCACTCTCGTCTCAACAGCAAGAAGAAAACTGAGCCAGAGGGATGCATGGACTATAAAATATTATTGCTATGTTGGGAAATATCTGTATACTAGGTAATCTACTTAACTATCGACTATTCAGTAAGTATATGGGTATTAAATTTAACTTTATTTATTTATTTATTTTTTTACTTTAAAGAAGATAAAAGTAAAGTTCAAGACGTGTGCTGTCCAATTGGAAGTCACTAGACAATTTCGCTATTTGAGTAAACTAAAATTTTAAAACATTAAATTAAAAGTTTGTTTCATCAGTCACGCATAGCCAGATTTCAAGTTATTTTCACTTAGCCATGAGGCTCAATAGCGTCATGGAGTTTATCAGTGGCTACTGTACCAATCAGTGCAGATATAGACTATTTCCATCACTGTAGGACATTCTATTGTACAACACCTGTTGTTGACAACAGTAAGACAGAGGAGAGAAATTGTCACAAGTTGAAGCAACTTTATCAAACGATGGTTGCTGTGTGCAATTATTACTAAATACATTCAATTTAGAAGAAAAAATACAGTTAAGGATATTGTAAAAATTGAGTGCTGACAACCAAAAGAGCAGAAATAACTTCCAAAGTGGCAGTTATTTTTTTAACTGAGAATGCAGGAAACTGCAGAGATAACACAGTGCAGTGTTTAATGCTATGAACTCTGCCACCATTCTGTGTGGCTATTAGCTTCATGCCTTAGAAAATTTACCTCAGTCAGTATGTCTTGGTTTTCTCATTTGAAAACAGGAATGATAACAGTAGTTTCAAGATTAAATGCAAAAAACAAAAACAAAAACAAAAACAAAAACACTTTTTTTGAGATGCAGTCTCGCTCTGTCACCCAGGCTGGAGTGCAGTGGTGCGATCTCAGCTCACTGCAACCTCCACCTCCCAGGTTCAAACAATTCTCCTGCTTCAGCCTCCCGAGTAGCTGGGACTACAGGCGCCCACCACCATGCCCGGCTAATTGTTTGTATTTTTAGTAAAGACAGGGTTTCACTGTGTTAGCCAGGATGGTTTCAATCTCCTGACCTCGTGATCTGCCCGCCTTGGTCTCCCAAAGTGCTGGGATTACAGGCGTGAGCCACTGCATCCAGCCTTTATTATTATTATTATTTTGTATATAGAGTTTCCCTCTTGTTGCCCAGGCTGGAGTGAAGTGGCACCACCTCGGCTCACTGCAGCCTCTGCCTCCCGGGTTCAAGTGATTCTCTGGTCTCAGCCTCCTAAGTAGCTGGGATTATAGGCGCTGGCTACCATGCTTGGCAAATTTTTGTATTTTTAGCAGAGACGGAGTTTTACCATGTTGGCCAGGCTGGTCTCGAACTCCTGACCTGAGGTGATCCACCCACCTTGGATTTCCAAAGTGCTGGGATTACAAGTGTGAGCCACTGAGCCCTGCAAAACACTCTTAAAATTGAGAATAGTACTTGGGTATCTGAAGGAGGCAAGTTGTAGACAACAATGAAACTGTGTTGATGAATTGTTGATAGCACTAAAGAGGTTATTTGCTTTCCTTTGCTTTGTTCAAGCACATACATACATATTGTTCACACATACAATGTGTGAATTGAGCAAGCTAGTTTGAGCTGCATTCTGAAATGAAGCAAAGTCCACTGTGTTTATTAGATCAGCAGGAAACTAGGTAATTTGGGGACATCAGATTGAAGAATATGGGAGATTTAGTGTGTACTGTCTTGCATACACCACAGGAAAAGGGAAAGCAGAGACAAATTAAGAACTTTGCTCAATCTTTCCAAAGTTTTCCATGCTAATATATACTCAAAATAGCAGTTAATACATCTTTTGAATCAGTTAATTTATATGAATCTGTTCCAACAGTTTAAAATAATTATCTCATTCATTTACTAAACATGTATGTGAATATTTTTAACTTTAACAATGATGCATTAAACAATTAGTAGTCCTTCAAGTGATCTTTAGATTCAAAGCCAGACGCAATAGAATCCTAGATTTAAAAAACTATGTGTACTCCATTACATAGTTGTTATTTTCTGCTATTAGAGAGACTATACAATCTTCTAAAGACACTTCAAATCCTTAGAGCTATACTCATGCAGAAATTTATTTTGTAGGTTCTAATATACAGGAGACCCTTAAAAATAAGCATTGCTGTTAAAACTAAAATTCAGATTTGAAAGAAAAAATTAAATATCTTAATATAGAAATGCATATTTTATCTGTTGTATGTGTAGGGTAGAAGAAAATAGATAGCTAATAGTAGGATAAAATAGCCAAAGGGCTGCATAGAGGCTACATTTCCTCTTGAGAAAAAAAGTAGGTGGCTTGAAGATATGTTTTTTTTATATCATCTCCTAACTAATACAAGAACATAAAGGCACAGATAGTTTGGCATGATTACTTTTGAATCTCACGTATCTGGTTTCCAAAGCACAATCATGAATAATAGATATGCCCAACAATATATGTTTATGTGATATAATTCTTTCAAATGTCTTTTGGTAATGTGTCCATAGTATGCAGAAGCCAATAATTTAAAATTGCACATTTGTAAGCCTGGGCTAATACTAAACTTTTATACATTCTGAGATTCCCAACTAAATGGTTTTTGGAATAGAATTACTGAATTCTATCACCCCAAAGCTACTGAAGAAAGATTATAGCTACTGCAGAAAAGTGTAAAATGTTGCAACTCCTGAATATTCTGAACTCTATCTTTCCCATCTGTAGTTTTCCAGGTAGTCCAAAAGAAAGGCTGGATATTTATCAAGAAAAATACACACACACACACACACACACACGCACGCGTGCACACACACACACGCACATGCACATGTGTACACACACGCACGCGCACACACACACACATGCACATGCACATGCATGCACACACACACACTATTTTCTGTAGAGAAAAAGGCTATTGGTTTTATCAAATTAATTTTCCACACAATTCACTATTGCTTATAGTGACTCATCTCTCTTATACTCCACTGATATAGATGTAAGTCTAAAATAAACATCTTTGCTACTAAAACATGAAGATATGTTCTATGGTTTAAGATTGTTTACTGTTATTTCATATCCATGAATGGTTATTAATGGTTTCTGGAAAATCAGAGAGAAGTATAAATATGGGAATACTGACATCATTAAGTGATCTCAAAGATGTAACAAACATTCTGTTTAATTGCCTTTGCAGGGGTAATTAATCCCAAATAAAAATCATATTTAATTTGTTATTAAAATAGGTGCTCATCTGTTAACTTCTCCTAGGGAACAAGACTGGTTAAAATATAATGCTGTTTGTATAAATATTGCCACAACCCTGGGCACAATAGATGTTTAATGATTTTGATGCCTATGAAGATGAAGACAAGTAGGATGATGATGTTATACTAACTCATAAAGCAAATGTTCAACATTTTAAACAAAGCTCTCTACATACTTGTACATATTCAGATGACAAAGTATGTTTGGGTTTTGTATTTGTGTAATCAAACCACTTTAATATTAATGTAGTTTTCCATTTATATGAGATATCTTTGTATTATATACCACTCAGTGAAGGAAAAATAAACAAGAAAATAATATAATGAGGTGCTGGAAAGAGAAGAATAAAATAGAAGCAAATGTTATATTTTCAAACACCACATATTAAAGGTAAAGTTGTAGTAAATAATATGTGAAGTTTTAGAGATAAAATATTAGCTCAATTATTTTTAATTATAATACCTAAAATAACAAAATAGAAGCATAAATAAAACTAAGAAATTAAATACAAGAAAGCATTAATGTTAACTAAAATAAACATTTGTATAAGGAAACACAGACTTAGCTTTAGACTTAAACTTACATGGTTATAATCATATAAATTGATTATTATATTAGTCAGACATTGTTATCTTCATAAGAAATGTTGAGAGCGAGGATGTTGTATTTTTTAGGGAGGAGAAGCTGTTACAGGAACTCAGTGCTCCATTTGAATTGATAAAACATGAAATAGTCTCATTTTAGAAGTATTGAGGCAAATGCTGTAAACAGTTGGAAACACTGAGTTGTACGTGAGGATTTAGTTGCTAATTTAACTGTCTTCACTTCTCCTACCTGTAATATTTCTTTCTCTTCTTATTCCAACATAGACATACACATTTTCAGGATTACCAGTTGTGACCAGACTGTGAAGAAACAGGGAATGTCTATTTTGATTATATGCTTTAAGTCTTAATTTTTAAACAATAATAATGTGAATCTGTTTAAATGGCTAGTGGGAAATAGAAAAGGAAGAGAGAACTATGTGGCGCAGCAAAATCTGTGAGGAGAACAAGATGCTCAGACACAGTGACTGGTCAATAACAGGGTGATGGTCAGACACTACCCACTTGGTAAGATACAAGGAACAGAGAGACATGTTGTGGAGGTCAGATTGTAGGTAGAAAGGCAGGTTGTTGTATAAGAATGAAGCTATCACCCAGGTGCGGTAGTTCATGCCTGTAATCCCAGCACTTTGGGAGGCCAAGGTGGATCATTTGAGCCCAGGAGTTCGAGACCAGCCTGGACAATATTGTGAAACCCCATCTCTACCAAAAATACATAACTTAACCAAGTGTGGTGGCACATGCCTATAATCTCAGCTTCTCCGGAGTCTGAGGCACAAGAATCACTTGAACCTGAAAGGCGGAGGTTGCAGTGAGCCGAGATAATGCTACTGCACTCCAGGCTGGGTGTCAGAACGAGACTCTTTATCAAAAAAAAAAAAAAGTCTTGGAAGTCTAGGCATCTGACAAAGGACTAATATCCAGAATCTACAAGGAACTTAAATAAATCAGCAAGAAAAAAAACAAACAATCCCATCAAAAAGTGGGCTAAGGACATGAATAGACAATTCTCAGAAGAAGATATACAAATGGCCAACAAGCATATGAAAAACTGCTTAACATCACTAATGATCAGGGATATGCAAATCAAAACCACAATGTGATACCACCTCACTCCTGCAAGGATGGCCATAAAAAAACAATAAAAAAAATAGATGTTAGCATGGATGGAGTGGAAAGGGAACACTTCTACACTGCTGGGGTAGGAATGTAAACCAGTACAACCACCATGGAAAGCAGTGTGGAGATTCCTTAGAGAAGTAAAAGCAATACTACCATTTGATCCTGCAATCCCACTACTGGGTATCTGTCCAGAAGAAAGTAAGACATTGTATTAAAAAGATATTTGTACTTGCACGTTTATAGCAGCATGATTTGCAATTGCAAAAATATGGAACCAGCCCAAATCCCCATCAATCAACAAGTAGATAAAGAAGATGTGGTGTGTGTATGTGTGTGTGTATATAGATATAGATACAGATATAGATATAGATATGTATATGTATATATAGATATATATGTATATGTATATATGTATATGTATATATAGATATATGTGTATATGTGTGTGTGTGTGTATATATATATATATATATATATCATGATATACTCCATGAAATACTACTCAGCCATAAAAAGGAACGAAATAATGGCATTTGCAGCAACCTGGATGGAATTGAAGACTATTTTTCTAAGTGAAGTAACTCAGGAATAGATAAGCAAAGATCGTATCTTCTCAGTCATATGTGGGAGCTAAGCTATGAAGAAGCAAAGGCATAAGAATGATACATTGGACTTTGGGGACTGGTGGGAGTGGCGAGGGATAAAAGACTACACATTAGGTACAGTGTACACTGCTCAGCTGATGAGTACACCAGAATCTCAAGAATCACCGCTAAAGAACTTATTCTTGTAACCAAACATCATCTGTTCCCCAAAAATCTATTGAAATAAAAAATAAAATAAATAAATAAGGAAAATAAAGAAAGGTATCTTCTATTACTTTTCTGGGACATATGACTTGGAGCTGTCTTCTGAGAGTCAGCGTAGGACATGTGGTTATGAATGCTGAGAAGAGAGAGAAACTCAAGGCTCCATGAAGACAGACACTGCCCATCCCATTCTTTGTAATCTCTGCAATATTTCGTCTTGCCGTGCATATGCGTGATCAATAAATGGTTGTTGGAAGAGTATGTGAAGAGACAAAACATCCCTGAGGAAAAGAGAAAAACTAACTCTAACTGAGCAAACATGCAAACTTTAACAGGTTTGTTGACAACATTGAGGCTTCAATTCTTTTTTTTTTTTTAATTTTCTCTGTGGCATTTTTTTTTCCATCTTTATATAGTCTTTCAAAGGTTCTGAAAAGTAAAAGGAGGGCCAGCTTCATGTATAAGCAACCTGTAGACTTGCCAGGACCCTGCATGCTCAGGAGAGCCAGAATTTGGTTCATTGCTCTGCTGTTATGTGTTGAAATCCTCAAGGATTTTTGAAGAAGGGATCTGACATTTTTGTTTTGCACGGGGTCCCAGTAGCTCTGTAGCCAGTCATCATTAAGGTATCAAGAGCAGAAGCGTTTCTTGCTGTTGGAACCTTATTTCCTTGTAGTGTCCAGTTTTAAAATCAATACTATTTGTATTACATTGTTCAACCAAAAATGCTGTGTTTTTGTATCATAACCTGTTTTGTGTCTTTACATCCTACCACATGAATATCATAAGCACCACTATTATCAAATATAGATTTCCATTATACTGATGTTATATAATTAGAGATGAATATTCTTAAAATAATATATACTCAGCCAATATTTGAAGATTTTCTTTTCCTTTTCCACACATTTTTCCCTCATATATGTGAATCTGTGTTTTTGAACTTTAATTTTTAACTTTTTGTGTCAGAAACCTCTCTGAAAAGAGGATTTAAGTTATACAGCCTCTCCCCAAATACACCTATCATGTATATGACTATTATATACTGTAAGATATACTATTTGTTGGCTCCCAATGTATGAATTCACACTGAGAAAGTCTGTAAGGAGAAACATCCACTATTTCTGCTGCTTATGTGCTCTTCTCTGCTTTATGCTTTATTCACTCTGAGTCTTCACTAAACAAGACACGACTATTAGGTTGGTGCAAAGGTAATTGTGGTTTTTGCCATTACTTTTGTGCCAACCTAATAATAAAATTGTAACCTAATACAGAACTCAATGAGAGAGGGAGAATTCAAGTTCAAGGTTCATATTTGAAGTTCTGAATTTCACCAAAGACAAATTCAAAGAAAAAACAGTCTTGCATTTTTAGATTGATATCCCTCTCACCTTACTCAATTTATTTGCTAACTTTTTACCACTTGTAAACACGTATATTGCTGAGTATAAATACATTTCTCTTCAGAAAAAATCAGAGATTTGGAACTGCTGCTCTCTTGCAAAATATATTTCTACAAAGGGAATGGATTTGGGAGGGAAAGCTAAATCCTTTCTAAGGAACTGCATTTTGTCACATGCAGTGATTTATTCTGTCAGGAAAATAGATTCTATGAAGTACTGTAAGCCCTGTTGGCAAGGAAATTCATTTAGTCAAAAACTTTAATCTATCCTGGTGCCAAAATTTTCTCTTTAGTTTATTGCTTAAAAATTGAGTTTTATAACTTCTATTCACTTTTGCAAAAAAGGTCTGTTATATTACGATATGATGATCTTAGGTCACAGAAATATTTGGTCACTATACAGGAATTTGTATATTTAAAATGAATAGTTAGCTTTGATGTAAATATGTATTTTCCTCTAAAATATGTAACACTTTATTTTTCTCCTTATCAACAATTTATCTCTAAGGCTGTAATCTTGAAGCAACCACAATATTCTTTAATGATATAATGGATTTTTTATGCTAAAACCAAGTTTTCATATTCCGTTAAACAAACAAAATAAAAGTACAGTTATGCTCTTTAAGTTAATTTTTTCCCCTAAGTCATGGTACCTTCACCCATAGGATAAGTTTTAAATATATTGGGTTGGCATTCTATCATGTATGAACGCTTTTGAGACTAGCAGTACCCTCATTTCTTTCCCCATTTCTGAGCTAATTTAGAAGGCTTATGCTCTTAACATGTAGATAATAATACATTATAATAAAATTGTTTTTCTCTATTATCATATGTATTTTATTTGAAGGATTTAGAACATTATTCTGAGTAGAGGCCTACAGGTTTTAGCAGACTGCTAAAAGAGTCTGTAAAACAAATTAACAAAAAGTTAAGAACCTCTGCTAGACAATGTCTCTTTAGAAGTAAGCTTATGAAATGGCTACTGTACATATCCTTATGCAGAGATCAAAGTCATTTACATGTTGCATTGAATTCAGTCTTTGTCTTGGCTCAATGAAGATCATAACTTTATATGTGATGTGATAAATATATTATTTTCTTTCTTTCAGGATTTGCAGCACTGAGCCTTTCAACATATATAGCCATATCAATGGAAATTATGTCTTGAGTTTAAACACCCAGGCCAATAATGTTGCATATCTTGGCCCTGATTTGTTCCATTTTTATGTAGGGTCTTCCCTTTCTTAGGGTCTGGCAAGCCAAGCCTAGGCCCTTCAAGACTAGTCTCCTAGCTACATAATGCCACTGCATCATTTTATCTAGCACTCATGGGTGTCATTAAGAAAGGACTGGAGATGAGTTTCACGATACCACCCCATTAAATCTTTTTAAAGTCTAACAGGACCTTCCATTTGCAGGTGTGTCAGCTCAGCTAAGAGAGTTGTGAGATACCAGGAAAAGAGCAGTGCTTTAGACACTATTCCTGCCTCCAGAACAACAATTTCCTATGCCAGAGATATCTCATCTTTTTTTTTTTTTTTTTTTTTGGACAGAGTCCCACTCTGTTGCCAGGCTGGAGTGCAGTGGCGTCATCTTGGCTCACTGCAACCTCCGCCTCCAGGGTTCAGGTGATTCTCTTGCCTCAGCCTCCAGAGTAGCTGGGACTACAGGCGCATGCCACCATGCCCAGCTAATTTTTGTATTTTTAATAGAGACGGGTTTTCATCATGTTGGCCAGGATTATCTCGATCTCTTGACCTCATGGTCTGCCCGCCTCGGCCTCCCAAAGTGCTGGGATTAATTACCGCCCCAGGCCTCCTCATCCTTTCTGTAGACAGGCTTGTATTAGGACACACAAAACATCAAGTTTTAAAAAAGGGCCATTTTGTTTGAATATTTGATAGTAGAAGAAAAGAAGAAAGCATTAAATTTTCTGTGGGCTTGCAGTCCACTGTTTAAAAATTGACTGGGCCTCAAAGCACTCTAAACCCCATGTAAGATGAGCCTGACTGCTGTGAGGTGCCTACTATTACTATTTGCAGACTCTTCTAGGGCTAGGCACAACGGCTTGCTCTTCTATGAGATGCTAGATACTTACCTAAAATCTGAAATAAAATACTGATATTTGCAACAGCAGTTTGGGAAAATGCTCAGAAACTTTCTTCAAGATGAACTGGTGATCATTTATTCAACTATAACCTGCTACTTTTTAACTCCAAACTCAGATTGCTAGATGACACTGAACTATCCAAGGTCATACTATCTATATGTAACCCATCAATAATATTAATTCACATACCACTTATGTTATCTGGGCCCTTGACCTGGCTGGAACTCTAGCAAGCTACTGAAGGACCATATACGTCAATTACACTGATTTTCTAGCATCACACTTACCAGTTTCCCCTTCCTACTTGCTGTCTCTTTGGCTAGCAGGTTAAGAGTTGCACTCACACTGGAGTTAAGAGATTTATTCCCTGGGAACTGTTTTTCTACCAAGTTGTGCGAAACCTCAAGACCTTTGAAAGTGTGGTTACTTTAATATTCAAGGAGAACTTTCCATATGAAAAGTTCTTGATTCTTCACTCAAAGACAAAAAAATGGATAATTCTGATTCAGTTGGGATTACCCACATGATTACCACTGTACCTCAATTTGTTTTGTAAATTTAGATAAGAATAACACCTATTCTGTAGGGTTATTCTAAGCATTAAATAAAATAACATTTGTAATGTTCTTAGAGTAGCTCCTGAGACACGGTTAAGTGCCCTTTATTGTTGGTTTTGTTGTTTCTGAATTATTTTAGTTGTTATCATTATTCATTATTATTATTTATTCTCATTACTATGGGACAGGTTAGACCAAAGTCATATATTATTGATGTTATTAAACTGGTTCTACAGAACACTACAAGCTTATCAGTATCAGAGGATGTGTTTAGTAATGAACATGGCTTTCCAGTTTAGGCCATGATCAGCATAAAAGTGGTGGTGTGACTTTGGACTTAGAAAATGTCCTGATGGTATATCAACTTTGATTATGAATGTTGTGCATGGCATTTAAGTTTGTTCCTATTGCCTGTTAAGCATCATTGTGACTCACCAGATAAACCTCTTATAATTCTAGGTTCAGAGAAAGTACATTCTGTAGCATTCATGCCATAATAATAAATTCAGAAAAGATGATAGGTTTGAGGAAGAGACATATGGGGACCTATGGGCAATTGAGACAATAGGATATTTCCTGTTCTTTAGCCATAATTATTGGTTTCTCCAGAACAATCCTCGTTTATATTTATGGTTTTTTAATTAACTCTAGAAATTTAATTTTTTGAACAGTACACAGTTACACATATCTTTATTAAATTTATGACTTTTATTTCCCCATGCTCCATGATTCCTTCATAATTCCTATATTTCCTGCCTTTGTAATATGATCAATATTCTTCATGTCATTAACTTGAAAACCATTTTAATTTGGAAAGTATTTTGTATTTGTGCTTTGGTACTAAGATTTAGAGCTTTACCTAATATGTATAAATCTATATATTTACCTTTATACAGCACCTTCATGAGTCTGGTAATGTCTTTTATAACTTTAGTTTACTTTAAATATATCTTTCTAAACCATTCAACTTCAATAGTACAATACCACATTTGGAAAACGCATTGAAAGAAAAATGATTTAGTCCCTATGTAGTCATGTTTTCTATTCACTCCTTGCATTAATTTTGTAAATTTATTTATTCTGAAGTTTTGGCTTTGATCTGTAATTGTCAAGGTTAAATTGCATTTTTTAAAACAAGATATTTTATCTTTCTGATTACTATACAAATCATTGTTTTTGCTTTTTTTTTTTTTTTTGAGATGGAGTCTCGCTCTGTCGCCCAGGCTGGAGTGCAGTGGCGCAATCTCGGTTCACTGCAAGCTCCGCCTCCGGGGTTCACGCCATTCTCCTTCCTCAGCCTCCCGAGTAGCTGGGACTACAGGTGCCCGCCACGACGCCCGGCTAATTTTTTGTATTTTTAGTACAGATAGGTTTTCACTGTGTTAGCTAGGATGGTCTCGATCTTCTGACCTTGTAATCTGCCTGCCTCGGCCTCCCAAAGTGCTGAGATTACAGGTGTGAGCCACTGCGCCCAGCCTGTTTTTGCTTTTTAACCATAATCACACACATCAATATCATCATTTAAGCTGAAGTGTATCTTTAGCTGTATTAAATGCACTGTGGTAATTATTTTATACAAAAGCTTCAAAATTTATGGACTCTTTTGTTTGGTTATTTGTCCTTATCTAGGATCTCCATGGGAATAGTAGCAGAGATATATTTCATAATGACTTGCCCAGTGGCACTGTGTATCTGTTAACTTTATTAGTAACAATGATTTGGTAGAATATATCTTGAGAATTGAGCTCTTGAAAGATGCTCTATTGTCAATTAATTGTGGAGAAGACATATAAAAAATAACTTCATTCTCCCTTTTTAGTTAACCTTTTTTATGTAAGTAAATGCTTACTCATTTAATTTGAAAAAAAAATTATACTTCCCAAATTGTTGCTTGTTAATCTTTCTAGAGAAAAAAAAACAAAAACCCTACTTTTTTATGCCACTAATATACATCTACTTGTGTTTGAGAAAGGTTCCTATATGTATATATATTTTTCCACAAGTGATTATATGGTTCAATATTTGAATATCAGTCAAGGTGTTCCATAATATCAACAGATAAATTAAAAAAAAATCTAGTCGTGTCAACTGATGTGGAAATATCTTTTGACAATATTCAATACTTGTTTATGAAAAAAACTCTCAGGAAAATAGAAATAGAGATGAACTGCCTCAAAGTGGTAAAGAACATTTACAAAATCTATAGGTAACATTATAATTAATGAAGAATAACTGAGTGATTTTTTTCCCCTAAGATCAGTAACAATGTCTGCTAGCAGCAAAGTCTCTTAGTTTTCTTTGGCCTGAAAATGTCTTGTTTTCCCTTCATTCCTCAATAATATTTTTGCTTAATATGGAATTCTGGGCTGATAGTTCTTGAAGCAGTTGAAAAATGTTATGCTGTTTTAGTGTAGCTTCTGTGGTTTCTGTAGAAATCTGTCATTTGAATTGTTCTTATATAGGTAATGAATCAGTTCTTTCTGCCAGCTTTCAAGATTTTTTTTTTTTTTCAGTTTTCACACATTTAACTGTGAATGTTTATTAGCATGGATTTATTGAAGTTTATGTTTGAAGTTTACTAAAATTTTTGAATCTATGTTTTTTTGTCTTTATGCTAAATTTGTGATATTTTCAGCTACTATTTTTTAAGTTCTTTTTTACTCCAATGGCATGTAAGTGAGATACTTGTACAATAAACATGTTCCTAAAATTCTGCTTAATGTTGATCAATATATCTCTATGGTTAATTTCTATTTTTTCGTCTTCAATTTTACTGATAACTCCATCCTTTCCATTTTGTTGTTGAGGCAGAATTGAGGTATGTTTTGTCTGCTGTATTTCTCAGTTCTAACCGGTGTCTTTATATTTCCTACTGATTTGATGAGACTTTACATTTTTAAATTTGTTTTAAATATGTCTGTAACTTCTCACTGATATATTTTTACATTGCCTACTTGAAAATTTTTGTCAGATATTTCTAACATCTGTATCATCTCCATGTTGGCCTCTGTTGATTACTTTTTCTCATTCAAGTTGAGATCTTCCTTTTTCTTTGTAAGATGAATGGCTCTTAATTGAACTCTGGACATTTTGTGCGTTACATTATGAGAATCTGGATCTTCTTAAAATACTGTTTCACCTGCAAGTTCAGACACTATTTTTGGAGGAGAAAGGGGTCCTGCCTAGTTGCTGTCATGTAAGAGAGGAATTCTAGGTTCGCCTTTTGACTTTTGTTGACACATGAGAGGGAGAGGAAATCCTTGTTTACTGCTCGGTGGGAATAGGAGTTCAGGCTCCCCACTATGTCTCCACTAATACTTCCATGGATAAGAAAGCAAAGGCAACAATTACTCTTCCCTGCTTGGCCCCCACTGACATTATAAGAAGAGGGTGTCCTGGATAACACTTGTTAAATCTTGACATTTCACTAGACCTGGCCTAAAATTAGCCCACTGGGGAAAGAGGAACACCTTGTAACCTCCAAGGAGGGTCTGAAATCTACGAACCTCAGACGGCCTCTGCTAGCACTGCATGACGGAGCACTTGCTGCTAGGTGAGAAAGCAAGCCCCATCTTCCTCCCCAGCCTACTCTGACACTATCCCTGTGCAGTGTTCAGGTGGGTCTTTACAGCCTGTTGAATGTGGACTGGGCTGTCTACTCTAGCTTTCCTTGGCAGCCTTCTGGTTTGCTGGCTTCTCCTGTATTACGACTTGGACAGAAGAGGCAAAGGCCAAAGCCAGGGAACTCACTGCTCTGTTATTTCTTCAGTTGCAAATTCCCTGGCCACTTTGTCTTCTCTCCGTTTTTAAGAGTATCTTCATGTTTGTTTTCTAGGCAACATCTAGATTTTTTAGCTCAGTTTTGTGAAAGAAATAGAGAAAGTCATGTCTCTTATGTTTCTATAAATAGAATTTGCAAGAATATTTTCATATGTAAACTTTTCTTCTCACGAGTGTTATCTATAGTCTTTCATTGAGAGTGTAAATATTACTTTTACCCAAAAATAAAAACTATGGACTGATTAGTGGACAGGGTGGGATGGTAGCAAGAGTAAAAACAAAGAGTTCTAAATAACTGAGACGGGAAACAATAAGAAGACTGGTTCTAAACAAATATTGAAGAAAATATTGATTGTCAATTTGGGGTAATGGAGAGTGTTTGATTGGCTTAATAGACAGAAGGAAGGTTATACTTGGGAGTTAGCATGACGTTTTATGAACATCGTAAAAAAAATAATATCAAGAGAGCTAAAAGAAAGTAAAAGGAAAGATTTCTTTTAAATTTTTAATTACTAGTACTTTTTTATGGATGTCAGTAATTTTTCTCACCAGTCCCACCCATTTCCCCCCATACGCAAACTATTTTTGGATATATCTATCCTGTTTTTATATATGTTATTCTGTGTCTATGCTCTGTGGAAAATGAGATGAATGATTCAATTTCTCAGAGATAATTCTGTAAAAAAATGGGATGAGATGTAGTACAAACTGGGCCAACAGTGTTTTTTTTTTTTGAAATTTTGGAATTACAATTGTAAAATAAATAAATAAATAAATATACATACATATACACACATAAATATATGGTAAATACATACTTAAGTTAATTGAAAAATATATATAGAGAGAGAAAGCACAATCTCTGCTGAGTTCTTAACAATGGACGCTAGATAAACAGAAATAATTGAAGCAAAGTGCACTGAAATCTAAGTAATAAAGCACTCTCTGAAAAAAGTTCAAGATTCATGTAGCCTTGGAACAACTGGGGTAATAATACAGTTCCTGACTCACCAGCTTTTAGGGCAATTGCTTTAGAAGCCACATTTTAATTATTGCTGTGGGTTCTAAAACATGCCTCTGCTTATGGGAATTAGATTATTTTTAAACGTTAACAAAACTCTCACATTTGGGTATATGTTATTCTCTATGTCTTCAGAATTCAATACAGCAAATGATACTTTTCATGTTACCACTTGACTTTTATTAAGAGATTTATATTGTAACTATCAATCTTTTTTTGAAAGTTTATAAATACATGAAGGAACAAGGAGAGATACAATACTTGGAATTTTGCAATTCCTCATCACATAAGGTGATTCACTTAAAGTAATAAAAAATGAGGTGAGTGATAAAACACATAGTGGAGACAAATTTCCAAGAATTTTTTTTAGTCAGCTCAGGAAAATATATATCAAAACAATGGCAAGATAGTAATTTGTACATGATTAAAATTTAAAAAAAATTCAAAACATTCAATTCAAAAAAATGAAATATTAAAAAATTAAGGTAAGGTATTGCAAGTCAAATTATTTAAGAATGGTAACCATAGATAACAATATAATAAATTCTTTAGGATACCATTGTTGAGAAAACCACCTTAGGCTCAGAACACTTCATGGATGTCTAGGTTTTGCGAGAGGAGAAATGCAGAAAAGCTTTACTCTAATTTTGAAATACAGTATTAAAATGAATACGGTTAAGCTTTGAATATCAGTGGGATAAGTTACAATAACCAGACAGGACTAGAGGACTATGGAGTCTAGAAAGGAGATCTGTCACCCAGAGTAAAAAAAAAAATAAAATAAGTAAAAACAAATAAATAAATCATAAAATCATTAATCATGTAGTAAGGGATACTAGCAGAAGAAAATTCCAGTTCCAATTAGGTCATTTCAGAACGCCACACAACGATACCATGCACTGTATGACTGCGCAATTGTAAATATATGGTACAGACCAAGAATGCTTGCTTAGAGCAGAATTATTGTGTCATTGATGTGGCATATGTGATTTCATAAGGATCGTTGAACTTTCCACTCACTGGTCTTTTGGTATGACTCACGACTCCCCCACCCCTCCTCTTTTTGTGGTACTCTGGGACACACTTAGGGGAAAATTTTGCTTGAAGGTAAAAATAGCATGCATGCCCTCTTGGCAACCCTAGGCATGTCACAATTTTGGTTCTCTTCACCATTGCTATGTTCATTAAAGATAGATGTCTGCATTTTCCCCATTCTACAGAAATTTTTGGAGCTATATTTTGACCTGTTTGACAGCATTCTACACTTCTGATGACATAATCATCACTATAGAAGAAAAAAATAGGTACTTGTAATTCCATTTATTTTTCAAGTTGTACCAATTTCCATGTGGTCATTTTTGTTTTGTTTTGTTTTGTTTTTCTAATTACCAACTTTTACTGGTGAGGACCTGTGTCTTAAAGAATGTTAAATACAGTTTTGTAGTGGTAATTCTGCAAATTGGCTAGCTCTACTCAACAAGCCCTATGTTTATATTTGGAATGCATAGGATCAGGATTTTTAAAAATGTATAAAACTATTTAACATGAGAAAAATGGCTTCATGAAAACATTTATTTTAACTGTTTATACTTCCGTATTTATGTGTGATATACTCCCATAAAAAAGAGCACTCATGAAAAAATAGTGCAGTTGAGATAGACATTTTAAACCTGGTATCTGTAGTTAGAATTATTAAACCAGGATGTTTTAATATAGCAGAATGAACTGAAGTCGCTATTGGAACAAACTGATTTACTCATCTTGTCAGGTATAACAGTAAAACTAAAGAAAACGTTATAAAATTCTAAATTGTGATATATGATCTCTTTGGCCTTTATCTGTAAAAGATATTTTATTTCCAAAAAGAAAATAAAAGTTAGTTTTTTTTTAAATTAGATTTTACATCAGCCACACTAACTTATTCTGACCTCATCAAACAGTATCATGCTGGACAACATCCAATTGTTAAAATGTCATTTCTTATATATACCATGTTTTATGAAGTGTTTCAACATCAAAATTATTACAGATACCCTATGAATTATTATAGACAACCATTTTATAAAATTCAAATCAAGCCACTTTCCCAGAAAACACAGAAATACAAATTGAATGCTTGCTCAATTTGGTCTCAAAAAGTCTTAAGAGAGCTTTTTTTTTTTTTTTTTCCTGTAAGGTCACTACTATTCCAGAATTTAAAATTTAAAAATCATTTACATAGATCCAAATACAGGCAAGGAAAATGTTTACCTTTCTAATGTATCAGCTCTCACTTGATGATTGATGGTAGCAGAGTAATCATATTTGGAAACTTCAAGAAAAAAAGAAAGTCTCCAGATATGTCAAATGTTTAAAGTGGTGAAGGACAGTTGCTAGACAGTTTTTAATAACATAATAAAAGAACCTACCTCTTTTACTTTACTGACAATGTAGAATTCATTGTAGACCTTCTTTCCTTTTTTTTTTTTTTTTTTTTTTGAGACATAGTCTCAGTCTGTCACCCAGGCTGGAGTGCATGGGCATGATCTTGGCTCACTGCAACCTCTGCCTCCCAGGTTGTAGAGATTCTCCTGCCTCAGCCTACCGAGTAGCTGGGATTGCAGGTACGAGTGCCATCACACCTGGATAATTTTTGTGTTTTTAGTAGAGACAGGATTTCACCATGTTGGCCAGGCTGGTCTCAAACTCCTGACCTCAAGTGATCTGCCCACCTCTGCCTCCCAAAATGCTGGGATTACAGGCATGAGCCGTCTCACCTGGCCCTTTCATTGTAGACCTCTCTTTTTATAATCCCCTCTTCTACCATGCTTTTGTTCCATGTAGTTGTTCACCCACATCTCCCAAACCACTTCCTATTGCTGATGCATCATTTCTCACTTGAGCTATAGCACCTGTCTCTAGCTGCTTTCTTACACCTAGTTTATCTCACCTCCTCCATTATACCTAGTTAATTTCTCTCTTCAATCCTCAGTTTACACCCTTAGAGTAATTTTTCAAAATACACCCCTACCAAACTATGATTCCTTCCAACAACTTTCAGAGACCCCTAACAACCTGCCAAAGCCTGAACACATAGATACTGGGATAAAAACGTCAGGTGATAAAGTGATGTTGAAGATAAAGGATAAAATTAGTGCATCAAGGTCTCAGAAAGAATTGTCAGTTTTTAGAACAAATGTGAAGCCTTAAGAAGGAGTGAAAAAATTTAGATGTAGATATCTTTAAATATACTTTAGGATATATAGTAATGACCTTACTTAAGCACATGAAATAATGGGGGTTAATAAGGCCCTTTTCTTTCACCAAATTGTTTCAGAATTAGTAGGATGACAAAAATGTATTCCATTTGATAGGTGCTATATAATCAGGTGGGTATGAGGCTAAAAGTACAAATGGATGACAGCTTAACTTGAACTAAAGTTGTCAATAAACAATTGCTCTTAAGAGGCACAAACTTACAATGTGACATTTTGACTTAAACTTCAAGGATGACAAAGAATGTCTGGGAGGCTGGGTGCAGTGGCTCACGCCTGTAATCCCAGCACTTTGGGAGGCCAAGGCAGGCGGATCACAAGGTCAGGAGATCGACACCATCCTGGCCAACATGGCGAAACTCCATCTCTACTAAAATACAAAAAATGAGCCAGGCATGGTGGTACGTGCCTGTAGTCCCAGCTACTCGGGAGGCTGAAGCAGGGGAATCACTTGAACCTGGGAGGCAGAGATTGTAGTGTGCTGAGATCACACCATTGTCCTCCAGCCTTGTGACAGAGCAAGACAGTCTCAAAAAAAAAAAAAAAAAAAGAATGTGTGGGAGTACAGCAAAAAACATATTCAGCTATTACTTAAGGGCACACTTTACTTGTCTATTTCAAGATCCTTGATGTTTCAAAGTTGATTGTGGTGTTGTAGACTGAATTGTGTCACCCCAAATGTATATGATGAAGCCCTCATCTTGAATGTGGCTATATTTGGAGTTAGGGCCTTTTAATAGGTAATGAAGGTTAAATGAGATAATAAGAGTGGAAATGTAATGTAATATTACTAATGTCTTTGTAAGAAGAGGAAGATACACCAGCACTGCATGCCTACAGAGAAAGTGCTGTGTGAGGACATAGAGAGAAGGTGGTTATCTGCAAGCCAAAAAATAAAGACTTCAGGAGAAACCAAACCTGCCAACACTTTGACTTCAGAATTCCAGCATCCAGAACTGTAAGAAAATAAATTTATGTTGTTGAAGTCACCCAGTCTGTAGTATTTTGTAAAGACAGTCCTAGCTGGCTAATGCAGATTTTGGTACCATGAAGTGGGGTGCTGCTGTAACAAATTCTTAAAAATATGGACATTACTTTGGAACTTGGGGATGAGCAGACGCTGATAGAGTCTTGAGGTGCATGTTAGAAAAAGGCCACTTTGCCTCAAAGACACTGTTGGTAGGAAAATGGACATTAATGATAATTCTGATGACAGTTCATTCCAAAAGGAGGAACAAATTATTAGAAATTAGAGAAAACTCTATCCATGTTATAAAGTGGTAAAGAACTTTGCTGAATTCTGTTCTAGTGTGTTGAGGGACGTAGAAGTTCAAAGCGATGAAACTGGATACTTAGTTAAGAAGGAAGAGGTAACAGTTCTCAAACAAGTGTAAAACCTAGCAAAGCCAATTCCATTAAATCTTAAGCCTTGCAAATAATCCTTTTTGGTTCAATAGCTCACATTCCAGGCCCTCTGGAGTCACCTTTATGACTCTATGGGATTGTCCTCACTTCAGCTCAGCAGGCAGTGCCCCCTTGACTCTGCAAGGATCCTGTCCACATAGATCTCTGCTGGGTGCTTTGGTCCTGCCCTTTGAAACAGGTGAAGACAGCCTCGTCTCCTAGGCTGGTATATTCTGGGCCTGTGAGAATCACTTTTGGCAACTTTCTTTTTTTATTTTCCTTTTTTTTTTTTTTTTGAGACAGAGTCTCGCTCTGTCACTCAGGCTGGAGTGCAGTGGCGTGATCTAGGCTCACTGCAAGATCCACCTCCCGGGTTCACACCATTCTACTGCCTCAGCCTCCCAGGTAGCTGGGACTACAGGCTCCCGTCACCACACACAGCTAATTTTTTGTATTTTTTAGTAGAGACAGGGTTTCACAGTGTTAGCCAGGATGGTTTCGATCTCCTGACCTCATGATCCGCCCGCCTTGGCCTCCCAAAGTGCTGGGATTACAGGCGTGAGCCACCGTGCCCTTTCTTTATTTTTATTGATGAATAGTAAATGTTGAATAGTTCTGTGATATTATCTTGCAGAATCCACAAAATCCAATAGCCTTCCTTCATTCCTTCCCACTTTTACTGTTCTCTTTAGTTCAAACTGGCAGTGTCTCTGCTTGTATAATCCCATCTCTGTTCATGGATTCAGTTGAGATGGCTGATCCAGTCAGTGAGTTGTACCCTGACCTCTTTATTAAATATTCAGCCAACACCCTTAGTGTTTTCTTCATAACAAGTTTTTTTTCTAATATTTTAAAAATATGGCTAGGCCATGGAGAAATTTCCAAATCTTCAAAATCTGGATTCTTTTTGCTTAATAATTTCTTCTTCAATTCTTCTCTCTATTCTTGCACTTTACTGTAAGCCATCGGGAGAAACTAAACTACTTTTGTTGTTGTTTGTTGGTTTTGTTTTGGTTTTTAGTGAGCACATAAAAACTCTCTCAGCCTCCCCATCAGCCAGTTCCATATCTACCTTCACATTTTTAGGTGTTTGGTACAGCAGGATCCCACTTCTGGTACCGAAATCTGTCTGAGTCTACTCAGGTTGCCATAACAAAATATCACCAACTGAGTACTTAACCAACAGAAGTTTGTTTTCTCTCAGTTCTGGAGACTCAACATCCACCATCAAGGTGACAGCATTCTTTTACACATAGCTCTCTTCCTCTGTCTTCAAAGCCAACAACAGTGGATTGTGTCCTTCTCAAATCACATCAGTCTGGTTTCTCTTTTGCCTCCATCTTACACTTTTAAAGAGTCTTGTGATTATATTTGGCACACCTGGATAACCCTGAATAATTTTTCTCTGTGTCAGCTAATAGAAATTTTTACTGTATATGATATCTTAATTTTTTTTTTTTGCCATGTAGCATCATGTTCCAGGAATTTGGGTGAGGAAATACTTGAGAGACCATTATTCTGCTACCACATTCACAGTCCCAGACAACTTCAGGAGGAGAGGAGAATAATATAATTATACCTCAATTTTACAACTTTAGATAGATTTTCTTCAACTTACCTTCTAATATCCTGTTTCTTGTGGAAGGAAAGAGACAAATTCAATGGTTCAATTTCAGGAGGGTTTAAGAATAAGAAAAAGAGAGTTTTTTGTTTTATAATAGTGATGAGGTCTTGCCATGTTGCCCAGACTTGTCTAGAACTCCTGCGCTGAAGCGATCCACCCACTTTAGCCTCTGGTGCTGGGATTACATGTATTAGCCACCAAGCCTGCTCTTTTTATTTCCCCTTCCTGCAGCTGCTGATAACCAACTGATCAGATTGTATATGGTAGTCATTAGAAAACAAACCAGGGTATTGGGAAATCACTGAACTGCCCTGTCAGCTTAGGCAAGTCAATTGACAGTTCAGAGCTGGTTTTCACATCTGTAAAAGGAAAATGATAAGTACTACCCTATGTAGGCATAGGGCTTTATGAAGAGAAACAAATGTACAGAGAGGAACTGTAAAATATGAAAAGATGAAGGCAATATATAGTTATACAATTAATATTGTATCAATATTAATATTGGTTCCTTGCATTCTTGAGAATAAAGATATGGGAAGGTGTTTTTTAACCTTCTTGTGGTCATATTGCCAGAAAATGACAGCAGAGCCATGCATTTATTTCAGATAAACTACAGTTTACTTTACAGTTAGCAAAATCTTTACTGTATCCAGTCTAAGCAGATTAAGATAATATCATGGGCTAAATTTTGTTCCCTTAAAATTTACATGTTGTGGTCATAGCACAACATAAACCACAATAATGTACTTTAGAACGTGATTGTGTTTGTGATGAAGGGGAAACTTGTACACAAACATGTGCAGAAATGAGACAATGTAAAGACAAAGGGAGAAGTCATCCATCTATGAGTCAAGGAGGGAAGCCTGGAATAGAGCCTTCTCTTATGGTCCTAGGAAGAAACTAACTTTGCAAACACTTTCATCTCAGACTTCTAGTGTATTAGTCCATTCTCACATTGCTATAAGGAAATACCTGAGACTGGGTAATTTATAAAGAAAAGAGGTTTAATTGACTCACAGTTCCGCGTGGCTGGGAAGGACTCAGGAAACTTACAATCATGGCAGAAGGTACCTCTTCACAGGGCAGCAGAAGAGAGAATGAGTGCCAGCAGGGGAAATGCGAGACACATAGAACCACCAGATCTCATGAGAACTCATTCATTATCACAGGGAAAGCATGGGGGAAACTGCCCCTGTGATTCAGTTACCTCCCACCAGGTGCCTCCCACGACACATGGCGCTTATGGGGAGTGTAGAGACACAGCCAAACCATATCATCCAGCCTCCAGAATTGTGAGAAAATACATTTCTTCTGTTTAAACCACCGAGTCTGTGGTACTTTGTTATGGTTATCCTAGCAAATTAATACAGCTAATGACAAGGCGACTACTGTACATTTTGCACCCATATGGGGCAGTCAACTTTGTAAACATTGATGATTATTTTCTTCACATACTCCAGAAAGTAATAATGCCCAAATAGGGGTTTATTTTATGTAAATTTCTCTAATAGGCATTATATGGATATCAGTTATATAAATAACCAGCTTCTACATTGAAGGTGCATATGACGTAGTATATGGAATCAGTGTATTTTTCTCCTTGTCTTTATCTCAGAACAAAATATGGGAGCATGCCATCACATACTGTGGCCAAATAGTGATTGTGCAGTGAAAGGTTACAGGGGTCAATGCTAATGGCATTCAGAATAGTGAGGAGAGGATGGTGAGGTGTCACATCCTGCCACTTACTTGCCTTTGAATATGACAATTAAAATGAGTTCATTGAGGGCCTGCTAATGACTTCACTATAAACAAAAATTCCATGGCTTTTTGCAAGCATTATTTGTGGAAGATGACTTTTAAAAAGTCTCATATATTATCTAAAGACAGCTTTCTATTTTGGCGTATACTAAATATAACAATGTAATGAAACACATTTTAAATATAATGTGATATGTATATGTAATACCATGTATATTAAAAAGATGCATTTCTTAGCTGAGAAGTGATTTTTAAAATCAATAATCTGGAAAATTTTTTTATTTTTTTAAGTTTTGGGGGGAGTGGGATTTGGTGGAAACCTCTAAAAGAAGCCAGTCACAAAAGACTGCATATTGTATGATTCCATATATATGAAATGTCTGGAATAAGCAAATCTATAGAGACAGGAAGTAGCTTAGTGGCTGTCAAGGCCAGGAATGGGGGCTTGAGGGTTATGACTAAGTGGTACAAGGTTTCCTTTTTTAGGTAATTAAAAATTTCAAAATTGATAGTGGTGAGAGATGCACAACCCTGTGAGTGTATTCAAAGACAATAAATTGTACAGTTTAAATTGGTAGATTGTAAGATGTATGTGTCATATGAGCCACAAACTAATCTAAGTGCTTAAGAAATATTATCTCTTTTAATCTTTATAACAATACTACGAGATAAACAATATTATTACCCCTTTATGTAAAAAGAACCTGAGGCACAGAAAGGTTAAGTGACTTGTGCATGGACCACACAACTAGAAAGTGATGAAATCTGCAGTTGAACCCAAGTAGTCAGCATACAGAACCTATGCTTTTTATTTTTGCATTATGCTGCTTTTATCAGGTCGTAAATCAACTTACCAATTTATGTAGCAGCAAAAACCATATGGATATTCAACATCATGTGAAAAATAGTAATTGAATGTACATTTTTCTTTTGTCCACAAAGCCAAGCACCATAGTGTGTGTGTATACACATGTATATACACACACACACACATACATATATATCTATACACTATATATATATATATATATATATATATATATACTATATATATATATATATATATATATATATATATGCACACATATACATATTAGGCCTTGCTCTGGTCACATTGAGAACCCAAAAGAGCTCTAACTTTGAAAATAAAACACCATTGTGTGTTACTTTTTAAATTAGAGATTACACTGTGCATCAATGACCTGAAACTACCAGCAAAAAGGAATCATGCCTACAATTGTCATCTCCTTGGGCTGCCGCTTCTAAGCAGTAGTTTCTGTCCATTGACACATATTGCTTAGCTGCTGGCATGACAAGTTGTTTTCTCATGGACGCTCCACTAAAACACTATTGATTTTGGCTGGATGGCTAGAAAAGAGTCACTATCTTGTTATCTTCCTTGCATTGGCCTTGGGGACTTCAGCTATACTTTGGCAATTTTCCAACTTAGGCATAACATAACTAAGAATACCAATCCTACCTATATATTAAAAAAAGTGAGAAATCACTAATATTGCATTTTATACTTTTACTGTTTTTTAACCCAATGGATAAAATGAAATAGGCAGCTTTTCTCTTTGGTGCACCTCTTAAAGGTTAGTTATTCAACTGCTTGATAAAGTACTTCTCAGCCACATAAATTTTCCTTTCTGGACAAAGGGGGAAAATTCTACTAAAATATGAAAAAAACATTTGGAAAGTTAGTGACAGTCACAATAAATATTTTTACCTTTATTTTTTACACTATATTTTTGGAGAACTTTAAAATTCACATCAAAACTGAGAGGAAGGTAAAGAGATATTCTGTGTACTCCTTGCCCCCACAAATGCATAGCCTCCATTTCAACATCCTCCATCAGAGTGGTACATTTATTACAATCGATGACACATCATTATCCCCCAAAGTTGATTAGTTTACATTAGGGATCACCTGTGGTGTTGTACATTTTATGGGTTTAGACAAATGTATAATGATGTATATCCACCTGCTATAGTAGTATACAAACTAATTTCAATGCCCTAAAAATCCTCAGTGCTACACATATTCATCCTTCCCACCACTCAACTCCTGGCAACCACTGATATATTTTCCATCTCCATGGTTTGCCTCTTATGAATGTCATATATTTGGACTCATATTATATAATATGTAGCCTTTTCAGATTGGTTTCTTTCACTACTAATATACATTTATGTTTCTTCCATGTCTTTTAATTGCTTGACAGGCAATTCCTTTTAGTGCTAAATAATAGTCCATTGTCTGGTTATACCACAGCTTATTTATTCGTTCACCTATATAGACTTCTTGGTTGCTTCTAAGTGTTGGTAATTTTGAATAAAGCTTCTATAAACATCTATGTGCAGGCTTTTGTGTGAATATACATTTTCAGCTCCCTTGAGTAAATACAAAGAAGCACGATTGCTGGATCATATGATAAAGTGATGTATGTTTCAATTTGCATTCATACCAGCAGTGAAACAAGAGTTATTATTGCTTTACATCCTCACCAGAATTTGTTGTTTTCAGTGTCCTGGATTTGACCATTCAAAGAGGCATGCAATATTATCTCATTGTTTTAATTTGCATTTCCCTGATGACATATGATGTGAAGCATCTTTTCATAGGCTTATTTGCCACCTATATATCTTCTTTGCTGATATGTCTGTTAAAGTCTTTGGCCTATTTTTTAACTGGGTTGTTTGTTTTCTTATTGTTGTTTTAAATGTTCTTTGTATATTTTGAATAACAGTTGTTTATCAAATGTATCTTTTACGAATATTTCTCCAAGTCTGTTATTTGTCCTGTTATTCTCTTGGTACTAAAGTTCAGCTTATTAATCATTACTTTAATGGATCATGCCCTTGATGTTATATCTATCAAATCACTGACATACCCGAAGTCATCTAGGTTTTCCTCTGTTTGATCTTCCAGTTGCATAGTTTCACATTTAACACTCAAGTGTATGATGCATTTTAAGTTAATTTTTGCAAAGGATGTGAGGTCTGTGTCAAGATTCATTGTTTTGCCTATGGATGTACATAAGTACTTCTGGCATATGGATGCTGTTCCAGCAGCATTTGTTGAAAAAGACTGCCTTTGCTACATTGTATTGTCTTAGCTCTTTCATCAATGATCAGTTGACTAGATGTATGTGGGTCAATTTCTGGGCCCGCTATTCTGTTCTTTTGATTTTTTTATTTGTCTTTTTTTTTTTTTTTTAAAAAAAAAAACAATACTACAGTTTTGATTACTGTAGCTTTATAGTAAGCTTTTTATTGTTGTTTTTTGTTGTCGTTTCATTTTGTTTTGTTTTTGAGACAGTGTCTCCCACTGTTGCCCAGGCTGGAGTGCAGTGGCATGATCTCGGCTCACTGAAACCTCCGCTCCCTGAGTTCAAGCAATTCTCATCCCTCAGTCTCCCGAGTAGCTGGCATTATAGTCAGGCACCACCTTGCCTGGTTAATTTTTTTGTATTTTTAGTAGAGACGGGGTTTCACAATGTTGACCAGGCTGGTCTCAAAGTCCTGGCTTCAAGTGATCCACCCGCCTTGGCCTGCCACAGTGCTGGGATTACAGACGTGAGCCACTACAACTGGCTATAGTAAGTCTTAGAGTCAGGTTGTGTCAGTCCTCCAACTTTCTTCTTCTCCTTCAATATTGTGATGGTTGTTCCATGTTTTTAGACTCTTCATTCAAACTTCAGAATCAATTTGGTAATATCCACAAGATAATTTCGTAACTTTTCTTTTTTTTTTTTTTGAGACAGAGTCTCGTCCTGTTGCCAGGCTGGAGTCCAGTGGTGCAATCTTGGCTCACTGCAACCTCTACCTCCCAGGTTCAAGCGATTCTTCTGCCTCAGCCTCCTGAGTAGCTGGGACTACAGGTGTGCACCACCACTCTCAGCTAATTTTTGTATTTTTAGTAGAGACAGAGTTTCACCATGTTGGCCAGGATGATCTCGATCTCTTGACCTCGTGATCCTCCCACCTTGGCCTCCCAAAGTGCTGGAATTACAGGTGTAAGCCACTAAGCCTGGCCAACTTGATAACATTTCTATTGAGATTGCATTGAATCTATAGGCCAAATTGTGAAGAACTTCCATCTTGACAATATTGAGTCTCCCTACCCATGAACATGAAATATCTCTACATATTAAGTCCTTCTTTGACATATTTCATCAGAAGTTTGTAGTTTTCCTCATATAGATCTTTTACATATTTTATTATATTTATGCCAAAGTATTTCTCGTTCTGGGAAGCACTAACAAAAATAGTATTTTGTATTAAATTTCAAATTCTACTTGTTTGTTTCTGGTTTATGAAAATTATTGATTTTTGTGTATTAATCTTGTATGGTGCAACCTAGTATAATCACTTATTGGTTCAAGGAGGTTTTTAAATTTTTTTTTGTCAATTCTTTGGGCTTTTCTACATAGATTATCATATTATCTGCAAAGATAGTTTTATTTCTTCCTTTTGACTCTGTATACCTTTTATTTTATTTTCTTGTCTTACTGCATTAGCTAGGACTACTTTTTAATTTTCCTTTTCTTTTCTTAGTTGCCTTTTTGGAACAAGATGAGGTAAGTACTTCACATTTTCATACAGGTGTCTATTTATCTCAAGGTAAGAAAACAATGTGAATTGTCATCGTTGAATATTCTCATTCTATAAGAAGGAATTTGTACATTGTGGTCAAGATGTTAAGTCTTTTTCCATCAGAGACTATTCAGCAAGATGTCTTTGTAATGAGACCCACATTCCAATAACAGTTACTCTGCCTGCTAGCTGAAGACCAAGAATGGAAGAGAAAATAACACAGAAAAAGCAGTCATTAAAATTATACTCACTCCTGTAACTGCAAATATTTCTTATTTTTACATCCTGCCTGGCATCATCATAATTATCCATGTGGATTATCTTGCATTTTTTCTTTCAGAAATACAATAAAATAAATTTTATTAACTTCATCTTAAAGATGAAGAAAACTGATGCTCAGAGATTTTTAAGAAACCTTGCTTTTTGTTGCATTGATAATGTGTGACAAAATTGAACCAAGATAGGTCTAATTCAAACCTGGTAGCCTCTGAACAATAGAATATAATCCATGTCCCTTCTCTGAAGCTCAGTTTCTCTACCTCTAAATTTGAAAATTATTCATTTGACATTTAATGTAAGCTTTTCTCATTGGACAACCAACCAACAAACCAGGGAAAACAAGAGAAGGCAGTAAAACTCAGATCAAAGAAGTAGCAGTTGACAGAGAACGTGATTTAGATATACCATGTTTTTTTTCATAGCAGTAGGTGTCTGTACTTAATACAGAAAGTGATCTAAGAAAAATAGGGAACCTGATTCATTGGGACTAAATATTCTTTTTGAATTTTTCTCAGTAGAGCTCTTTTGACAGAAACTAATAATTGTTCAAGATTAACACATGATTTGAACATTAATTGCCTTTCCTAGAGAGGTAATTCTAAAATGATGGATCACTACTAAAGCATATTATTTATCTCTTGAAAAGGAAAAGGAAATTGAACAGTTATTTTTTAAAAAATATTTTCTTATTCATGCCTGAATAAAAGGAGATTTTGTCTATCTGAGAAGATGCTCTTTTCTGTTATCAGGTCAAAAAGAAAGAAAAAAAGAAATAATAAAATGGGAATTCTGTAACACATTTTTATTTTTAGCATACCTTGTAATATTATTATTATGTCCATCAGGCCATAATATAGAAATACATATTTGAAACTAATCAATATAAATAGATTCAATGTATTCAAGAAGCCAGGTGTGGTGGTGTGTGTCTGTAGCACCAGTTATTGTGAAGGCTGAAGTGGGAGGATCACTTGAGCCTACGAGTTGAAGTCCAGCCTGGGTACCAAAGCAAGACCCGTCTCACCAAATCAAAAAAAAAAAAAATAAGAAAGCAGGGAAGGAAGGAAGGAAGGGAGGAAAGGAGGGAGGGAGGGAGGGAGAGAGAGAGAGAAAGAAAGAGAAGGAAAGAAAGATGCATTTAAACATTAGTCTTATATTGTAGAACCGGAAATAAACATATTCTATCAGAAAAATATCAACAAGGAATCTAGTGAGAATGAGTTCATAACTTGGAAATAGGTAACAGGAAACAAAAGAATGTTCATCTATAAAATAGCACAAAACAAGGATAAAATTAAAATACTGGTAATAAAATCAGCAAAGAAGTAACATAATAGAAATGTGCAAGATAACAAACAATGATAAAAAACACCAGGTGATATAAGGTTATGCAAAACATTTTGAACATTTATGAACAGGGATAAAAAACTGATGGTGACCCTTTGCTCATTGAAATTCACTTATTTGTATTAAAAAATATGAAAGAAACTTACTGGAATTTTAAATTTAAATAAATATATGCTTTAATAGAGTATCAGGCAAATTATAGCAGAGTAAAGGAGGGAGTAGGGTGGGACTGTTGCTGTTCCTAACACTTCGTTCTTCAATTTCTAAAGTCGCTTGGTAATTTGTTTTAGTTAATGAACTTATGTTGAGGTGCATCATATTTTATGGTTGAGTTGTTTGAGGATGGAAAAAAGAATGATTAGAAATGCCAAAGGTTAATTGTCACCTTGAGAGTTTACTTACCACCAAGAATGTATCAGTGGAACAACTCAACCACATCTTTTCTTACCTTGTCAAACAATAAAATAAAATGACAACAAATTTTTTGTGAAAAGCTATCAAAAGAAACTTGTACTTGGATTAATCATGATAAAAGAGTTTTTGGGATCCTGTTAGATAAAGTTAAAAAAAGTGTATCTTTTTAAAACCAAATTGAAATGAATGATATTTCCATTCTAATTTTCAGTGCCTACTTTATATTTAAGGGTAAAAAGCAGTATCTATAATTGTATAGGCAAATGACTATAAAACTTAAAAAAATAAAAAAAAATTTAAAAGTAGACATTAGGACTTCATGCAAAATTTTAATAACTAAGCTAGCTGGCAATTCTGTCATAATATATACATATTGATAAAGTTTAATGGAAAATCTGGCTATATATTTTTTTCAGTAAAGATACACAATTTTTATTTTTTTCTTGGTTGCTTATAGCAGAATACCTAAAAGTGGATAATTTATAAAGAAAATAAATTTATTTCTTACAGTTATTGAGGCTAAGAAGTCCATGGCTGAGGTGCCACATTTGGTGAGGCCCTTCTTGATGGGGGGTCCAGAAGTAGCATATGTCATGGGGGCTGAGTGTGTTAGCTCAGGGTCCTCTCTCTCTCTTCTTATAAAGCCACCATGTCAACTTCCATAATAATTCAACAACCCATTACCTTATAGATCATTAATCCATGAATGAGTTAATCCATCCCCGAGGGCAAAGCCCTCACACTCAATCACCTCTTAAAGACTCCAACTCTTGGCTGAGCACAGTGGCTCACGCCTGTAATCCCAGCACTTTGGGAGGCCAAGGCAGGAGGATAACGAGGTCAAGAGATCGAGACCATCCTGGCCAACATAGTGAAACCGCATCTCTACTAAAAATACAAAAAAAAAAAAAAAAAAATCTAGCTGGGCTTCGTGGTGTGCGTCTGTAGTCCCAGCTACTCTGGAGCCTGAGGCAGGAGAATTGCTTGAACTCTGGAGGTGGAGGTTGCAGTGAGCTGAGATTGCGCCACTGCACTCCAGCCTGGCGACAGAGTGAGACTCCATCTCAAAAAAAAAAAAAAAGGCCGGGCGTGGTGGCTCACGCCTGTAATCCCAGCACTTTGGAAAGCTGAGGTGGGCGGATCACGAGGTCAAGAGATCTAGACCACGGTGAAACCCCGTCTCTACTAAAAATACAAAAAATTAGCCGGGCGTGGTGGCGGGCGCCTGTAGTCCCAACTACTCCGGAGGCTGAGGCAGGAGAATGGCATGAACCCGGGAGGCGGAGCTTGTAGTGAGACGAGATCGCGCCACTGCACTCCAGCCTGGGTGACAGAGCGAGACAATGTCACCAAAAAAAAAAAAAAAAATGCTCCAACTCTCAATACTGCCACACTGGGGAGTCAAATTCCGTGTGAGTTTTGGAGGGAACAAATATTCAAACAATAGCATAATTAAATAGGCAAAGTACTGCTTTTTGAAAAAATTTGATGCTAGAAAAGTTGGGTATCAGCATTGACAAAAGTAACTGTTAGCCAGTATTCCACCACAAACACAAAAACGAACTCAAAGTGTATCAGAGTATTACAAGATAATACTATAAACCTACCTGCCAGGCGTGGTGGTTCATACCTGTAATCCCAGCATTTTGGGAGGACAAGGTGGGCAGATCACCTGAAGTCAGGGGTTCAAGACGAGCCTGGTCAACATGGGGAAACCCTGTCTCTACAAAAAAATACAAAAATTAGCTGGCTATGGTGGGGCACGCTTATAGTCCCAGCTGCTTGGGAGGCTGAGGCAGGAGGATTGCTTGAACCCAGGAGGCAGATGTTGGAGCAAGCCAGGATTGTGCCACTATACTCCAGCCTGGGCAACAGAGTGAGACTCCCTCTCAAAATAAAACTAAGAATAAAATAAATAAACCTACTACTTTGCAAGAAGAAATAGATGAATTCATTATAACAGTTGTAGAATTCAACATTCCACTTTTAGTTATTGATACATAAAAAAGAAAAATCAGTAAGGATATAGTTGAATTGACATCATTATCAATGAAATTGATGTAATTGACGTTTATAGAATACTCCATCCATTAACAGTTGGAACACATTCTTTTGAAACTCACACGGAACATTTAGCAAGATAGACCACATTCTGGTCAATCAAAACAATCTTAAGAATGTTAAAAAATCTATAAATACAACAAATATGTTGTCAGACCACAGTGGAATTCAACTAGAAGTCAATAACAGAAAAATAGCTGGACAATCTCAAATATTTGGAGACTAATATCATACTGTTAAATAAAACATGGACCAAAGAAGAAGTCAAAGATAAAATTAAAGGAGATATTTTGACTAAATGAAAATAGTGACATAAATTCTCAATAATTTGGGGAAGCAGCCAAAGCAAACTTAGAGGCAATTTAAAAGCAGTAAATGCATATATATTAGAAAGAAGAAAGATCTAAAATCAATAATCTAAGCTTCCCCCTTATGAAATTAGAGAAAGAGTAATTTAAGCCCAAAGCATCAATAGAAAATAAATAATACAAATAAAGCACAAAAATTAAATTAAAAATAGAAAAATAATAGAGAAAATCAACAAAACCCAAGTTTGATTTAAAAACAATTAAATTGTCAAATCTCTAAACAAGCTAACCTCAAAACTTTAAAAAAAAAAAATGGAAAGAGGGGTCAACACTACTAATCCCAGATTATCAAATGAGTGTAAGGAAATAGAATGAACAACTCTATGCCCACAAATATGACTTAGATGAATGAACTAATTCCTTGAAAGATACAAACCCAATCAAAACCAAATCCAAGACTAAATATCCCTATAGATGTAGGAACATTACTATAGCTATTAAAAAATTAAATCGATAATTGATAATCTTCAAAAGAGAAATAATCGAGCTCAGATAATTTGACTAAGAAAGGATACCAAACTTTGTAATCTCTTCCAGAAAAGAGAGGCAGAGGAAACACTTTGTAACTCATTCAATGAGACCAGCATATCCGAATTAGATAAATACCAAAATTAGATAAAGGCATTATAAGAAAGGAAATCTACAAACCAATGTCTTTCCTGAATATACATTTTAAAATCCTCAGCCAAATAATAGCAAATGAAATTCAGCAATGTATAGAAAAATTATATACCATGACCAAGTGTAATTTCTTCAGGTATGGAAGGCTCATTGAACGTTCAAAAATCAATTAATGACATCCATTATATTAAGAATTAAGGAAGCAAGGTAATACTAGCCTATCGGTAGATTCAGAGAAAATATTTGACAAAAATTCAGCACTCATTCATGATTAACACTCTCAGTAATCTAGAACTATAGAGAAATTTCCTATGCTTGATAAAGAGTATCTTTAATAAAAAAAGCTAACATTATAATTAATGATGAAAATCAGATAATTTCCCACTACAATTAGGAATAAGGCCAAGTCCATTCTCACCTCTCTTACTCAATATTTTATTGGAAGTCCTAGTAATAAAATAAGAAAATAAAAACAAATAATGGATAGGTAGATAGAAAATGAGGAAATAAAACCATTCTTGTTCACTGATGCTATGATTTTTTATACAAATGATCCAAAATAATTGACAAATTCTCTAGAAACTAATAAATGATTACAGCAAGATCATACAATTCAAGGTTATCAAATGAAAGTCAAATACTTTCTTATACAAAAAATTAAAGTACAGTATCAATTACAGTTGAAACAAGAAAATAAAATACGTAGAAAACTATTACAGGATCTGTACATAGAAAACTGTAAAACTGATTGAAGAAGATCAATGAAAATCTAAACAAATAGAAACATATTCCATGTTCATGAATTAGAAGACTCAACAGTAGTCAGATGTCAATTTCTTTTTTCCAAGTTGATCTATAGATTCAAGGTAATACTAAACAAAGTCCCAGAAATTTATTCTGTGAATGTAAATAAAATGATTCTAAAATTTATTTAAAGATACATAAATCTCTGAAATATCAACACAATAAAGATCAAAGTTGGAGGACTGACACTACCACCTTCAAAATTTAAAAAGACACTGTAATTAAGACAGCTTAACATTGGCAAAAGAATATATACTGGGATTAACAGGAATAAATAGAAAGCCTGGGAATAGACCCACAAAAATAAAGTTAATTGATTTTTGACTCAAGACACACACACTAGTAAAGAGGTTGTTGCTTTTAAAAAAATGAAGCTGGAACAGTTGGAAACACATGTGCAGGAAAAAAATGAAATTAGACACAAATCTCACACTTTTCACAAAAGTAAACTCAAATGAATCATATAACTAAATATATAATACGGTACTCTAAAATTTTTAGAATAAAGCACAGGAGAAAATGTATGTGAACTGGGTTTGGCAGTGAGATTTTAGAACAACACCAAAATCACAATCAATGAAATAAAATATTTAAGAATTTAGACTTTGTTAATAAACATTTAATTAAGGTTTAATTAACATTAAAACCTTCTGTTTTGAGAAAGACACTGTTAGGAGAATCAAAAGACAAGCTATATACTGAAAGAAAATCTTTGCAAAACACATATCTAACAAAGAATTTGTTTCTTAAACACACAAAAATCTCTTAAAAGCCAAGAATAAAAAACAAAACAATTTAACTAATAATGAGTAGAAGATTAGAAGAGGGAACTCACTATATATATATATATATGTACAAAAATATGAAATGCTCATAATTTGTCATTAGAGAGCTGCAAATTAAAGTAATAACAGAAAACCATTAGACATCTAATAGTTTAGCTAAAATTAAAAAAAAAACCTGCCAATGCGAAATGCTGGTAAAGATGCAGAGTAATAGGAATTCATATGTGTGGCTGGTCAAAATGAAAAATAGTACAGCCACTTTAAATACAATCTGGTAGTTTTTTAAAAAGCTAAATAGAGTCTCAGCAATCACGCTCCCAGGTATTTACCCAAATTGGCAACCTATGTTTATGCAAAAAAACTTCATGCAAATATTTTTAATAATTTTATTTAAATGTATTCATAATCATCAACATTTGGAAATAACCAAGATGGTCTTTGACAACTGAATGGGTAAATTATTAATAACTGGTATATACATACAATGGACTATTACGCAGTTATTAAATGAGGTGTCCAGACATAAAAAGACATAGAAGAACTCTAAATGCATATAGATAGTTGAAACAAGGCAGCCTAAAATATCTACATACTATATGATTTTTATTATAATACAGTCTAGAAATGCAAAGCACTAGAGAGAGAAAAGAACCAATGATTTCTAGAGATTCAGAGAGATGGGACAGAATTAAACAGGTGAAGTGCAAAGGATTGTTTTCACAGCAGAATTATTTTATATAATAATAGTGGATATGAGACATTGTATATTTGTTAAAACTCATAGAACTGAAGAGCACAAAGAGTGTGCCCTAATGTATGCAAATTTTAAAAATTATTTGGTGCTGGGGGATCCCAGGAAGGAATGCAGGATGTGTTCGGAGAATATAATGTGTATTACAAATATAAGAAACAATCACACTGTAGGGAATAAAGGGAAAAATGCTGATGTAAGTATCTTTCAAAATGAATGGAGTCTGCGTAAACTAAAGGCAAAAGCAACTGAGTATAGACACTGTACTCTAGTTGATAGAATTGTTTCTCAGGGAAAGCACAGTGTCTCACTGGTAGTGTGAGAATTTTCAGTTACAAGGGGAGAAAGCAGGTATAATTCCTGTGGTAATAAACTAGAATTGTGGAAAATTGTGTGAACTCATGTTTATCTTACTGTAGATCCTGACAGTTACATAAATAAATATTTGTAGACATGTTTATAAACATGGGCTAATATATACATATATTTTTTGCTTTGTCAGCTGAGAGATGGTTAAAATAATGATTCTCAAGTGGCAATAAGCAAGTCTAGCATCAACATCCTGATTTCTAAATACAATTATTAAATAAAAATAATAAGAGGTTTTTGGAGAAAAGGGTGATTGTAGCACTAGGGCAAGAAATACACAAGAAGAGCCTGAAATATCTGAAGAGATGGAAAGTCAGAAGTATCAACACAAACACACACACACACACAGGCACCCACACACATTGACGGGATACATCAAAGAATCACAGGAGCAAAGAGGAGCTCCTAACAGCCAAATCTACAACAGTTTGGGAAACAAAGTAAACTATTATTGGATTGTACCCAAAGTATAAAATGAATAGTCATGTGTCATTACTAACACAAATTAATGATTGAATAAATTAATAAATAGATAAAAAGAGACAAATCTCCCACATAGAAAAATTTCAAATAACACTCCATAGATGTTAAGCTGCATATTTTGACTTTCTTTCTTCCTTTGCATGCTACAGAAAGGGGCGGAAAGGTAACTTTACAGTGAAGAAACCCGAGAAATGCTAACTCAGACATGTAATCAAGGCCAACAACAGCAGTCATAAATCATGTTGATTGTATGTACCCTTGACATGATGTGGTAAAAATGGCCCTTTACCTCTGTGATCCTACTCCTAGTACCCATAACTCCAGTCTTCTCATGAGAGAAACATCAAACAAATTCTAACAGTGGGACATGTTACAACATACTTGACAAGTATTAATCAAAACTATCAAAGTCAGGAAAACTAACACAGCTAGGAGAAGCCTAAAGAGATATGAAAAGTAAATCTAGTATGGTATCCTGTATGGGAACCTAGAATTTTTTTTAAAAAAAAAGGATATTAGGCAAAAGCTAAGAAAATCTAAATATGCTATGGACTTTTGTTACTACTACTAATAAGCTAACTTGGACATCATAAAAATTAAATTGTCTGCTTTTCAAAAGGCAATACCAAAAACTAGAAATGTCAAAGCCACAAGATGGGAGAAAATAATTGTGATTCATCTGTCTGTCAAAGGACTTGTAGTCAGATTATATTTTAAAATACATATCCAATTTAATAATAACAAAAACAATACAACAGAAGTGAGTGCTATATTTTAACAGACATTTTCAAAAGACTGCATATAAACTGCTAATGAACATTCTTGACATAATTAATAATCAGGAAATTGCAAATGAACTGTGTATCAGAAGTACGATTCAAACTCTAGAAGATAGTATGGACAATAAAGTAGGAGTAAGGAACTGAAAATAATTCGTTACCAGTCAGCTTCTCTGTCACAGGACATCACAATAAATATGAGTTTCAGATTCCTCATCTGAAAATTACAGAATTGAACAGTATTATCTGTGAAGTCATTTTCAATTCTCATAGTGAACTAATTTTAAGCAAAAAACCCGTAAAATTGTATATTTTTCTTTTCTTTTTTCTCCCAATAGCTGCATTAATTCAGCTTCTTTGTATAATTTCTGCCACGTATAAGAACTTGTCAGCATAGAATAATTCATTAACAATTTGAGCACTTTCATTTGCAATTTGCTGTATGATCAAAAGTATTATTACCTTTAAAATAATGTTATCAATAGGTAAATGATAAAAGTTACCTATTTTATCAGGGATAAAATAGCAGGGATATGGTCCTTAATTTCCTAAAATGGAATGTCCTAATCCCTCCATTATTAATCTAAACATTGCAAAGTGAAAACTGTATATCATGTGTGTTATTATCACTCAAAATTTTGCTTAAAAGACATCTTACAAAATTAAATTCATCCCCAAACTGGGCCCTGGGGTAATGACTGATCTAACTATAAATTTTACAGCTAAGTTATAAATCTCTGAAATTGCTAGTGTGTAATAAAAGGACTGTCAGAACTTTTAAACTTCATTTCTCTATCCATGTTCCCATGCTTATGTATCTTATGTATTACAAGTTCCAGTCGATATTTGAAAGTTTGTTAATAGAAATAGTTTCCTAGATTATATTAGTGATCAATGCACATCAGTGTGACAAAAATTTCTTATCTGTGTGCACCAAAGTTGTCCCTCTCAGGACAGAGATGGAGGTACTAAAATTGACCCTGAACAGCCAAGAGGGAATGAAAAATCTCTTCACATTCAAGTTGCTTTCTGACATCAACCTCATCAATACTAAGCGTAAACAAATAGACACACACTTAGATCTCCAACAATCTGTTTGTGAATATGTGAAATAATTGAGATTGAGAAATCATTGTGATACCAGGTTTCATATTTTAATTTTTGTTTATGTAAATATAGTGTAAATTATTAAATCTGCGTCATTTACATAGCATCTATTATGAGGAGCTGTGTTGACTTCCAGAAGAGGCACAGATTTCCTGTGTCAAGTTGATCGTGTTTTACCATAAGAACCGTGGGTCACGACTGGAAATAAAATACAGAAATCAGCTAAACCAAGAAACACCAGGAATATGAAACATAGAAAGAAGCTTAGATAGGCTCAGTAAATTAATAACGGCAAGGCTAAAATAAGTCAGAAAGTGTTTATCTTAATTTTTCATTTATATTAACTTACAGTCACATGAGGTAGTTACTATTAAAATTTCATTATATAGGTGTGGTAGGCTGACTTCTAAGGTGATCCTCAATGATCTCCATCCTTGAGTCCAAACCCTACGTTATCTCCTTCTTCTCAACGTGGAGTGCGTCTCAAAACTTAAAAATAGGATATAGAAAAAGAATGGGATGTGATTTCCGGGATTAAGTTACAAAAGACTGTGGTTACTACATTGCTTATACTCAGTCCTTGTTGATTAGTTGGAGTGCACATTTTAATTAAGTAAGCTGCCATGTTGAAGAGGCCCAGGGGGAAAAGAACAGAAGTGGTCACTGGCTAACAGCTACCAAAGCCCCCAATCCAACAGACCGAAAGGAACTGAATCTACTTGGAAGTAAAGCCTTTCCACTTGAGCTTTGAGATGAAACCCCATAACCTGGCCAACACCTCGAATATGGCGTTTTGAGATATAATATAGCAGATAACCCAGCTGAACTGTGCTTGAATTCCTGAGTTGCAGACAATGTGAGATAATAAATGTGTGTTGTTTTAAGATACAACATTTTAGAATAATCTGTTGTATAGCAATATTTTCTTGATACTACAAATGAGGACTGTGAAACTTTGAGAAGCTGTGTATCACAGTCACCAAGTAGCTGAGCTGCATTGCTGCTCCTGCTCACTAGCAACTTATCTCCAGGCTGCCTTAATTCATAGAAACTGACCATCACTGGAGGAAGAATTGCAGAGGATCAAATAAGCAGAAAAGTCAACCTAGAAAGAAATAACCGGATGATAAAATTAATAGTGAATACAGAAATTGGTAAATATGTGTATAAATTGAAAGAAACATTGATTTTTAAAAATTAACAAATTGGAGGGGCAGTGAAAAAAAGGGTAAGGCTGAAATACAAGTCAAAGGGGCAAAAGTGAATTTTTAAGTAAACTATTAATGTGGAAACGTTAAGAGTTACCCAAAGAATAGAGACAGAGAAAGAGAGAATGTTTAACCTACAAATCAGAAAGAGAAAAGAGAGAGGGCCAGAGAAAATTCAGTAAGTCCAACAGATAATAGGCACAAAGTGTGAGCAGAAGTAAAGAAAAATGTGCTAAATATGCAATAAAAACACAATTTTCAAAGTAATACCTAATGTTTCAGTGATGACAATAAATTAAAACAATTAAATTTAGATTTTGCAAGACAGATTTAAGTTAATTTGTGAATCTAATTTTATGTTAAAAGGAAATACCTAAAATATTGTGACAGAGAATGTTTTCAGTAAAATTATATAAATAGATATCACACAAATATTAACCAAAATAAAGTTAGTGGAACAAGCATTGTACTCAGAACTCATTTCTAATCTCATTCTGACAAGCAGAATCAGGGATTCTTGAAGAATAGTTGATTCTGAAACAGGGATAAGAAACATACAAGATGAGCCTGTAACAAATTGTATTGCTAGAAAGTGAAGAAGTTGTAAAAACAAAACAAAACAAAACAAATGGTAGGAGAATATGAAAAGAACACATGAGCCAACTGAAAGAGCCCCCAGTTGCCTAAGGTGGAACAGTCTGAGTAACAACAAAAAATAAAATAGTATGAAATTATTATTCAATTTATAAATAAGTATTCTTTAGCCCAAGCTTACATAAATAAATTATCAAATAAATAAGAATACACAAATCTTCCATGCAGAGAAATCCCAAATAATGTAGATTATCTGCCCTCAGAGAGGTAGAGCATGACTCCTCACTTCCTAAGTGTGGGTTACACATAGTCACTTTTTTCTAAAGAGAACAGCAGTGAGGAGGAAGCAATTTTACAGTGGAGAAATCTAGAGTACAGCAGTGAAAGGAGGAAGCAAATTTACAGCGGAGAAATCTAGAGTACAGCAGTGGAAGGAGGAAGCAATTTTACGGTGGAGAAATCTAGAGTACAGCAGTGAAAGGAGGAAGCAATTTTACAGTGGAGAAACCTGACAAACACTATCTTAGCCAGGTAACTAAGGGTAACATCAACAGAAGCAAGTCAAGCTGATATTATGTACCCTTGAAATGATGAGATGATAATGGCACTTCACCTCTGTGGTCTTCCTTCCTGAAGTCCCTAACACCAGTCTATTCCTAAGAAAAACAACAAACAAATTCCAATGGAATGAAAATATCCTAGTATTTCTTCAAATTCTCATGGTCATGAAAAAAAAAAAGTCTGAGATACTGATCCAGCTAAGAACAGCCTATGGAGACACAAGAACTCAATGTAATGGTTTATCCTGAAAAGGATCCTGGAACAGAAAAAGGGCAATAAAAAGCAAGAAAATTTGAATAAAGTGTTGATTTTAATTAATAATAAAAATATTACAAATATAATTATTTTCACAATATTAACAGCAGGCAAAATAGAGTTCAAGGCAAACAGCATTATTAGGGAATGGGGTAAAACTGTAATTATGAAATAAACGTTTCATCAGAAATATGCATAAATTATTAATATCAAACTTCTAACCCTATAGATTCTAAAAAAACTGAAATATATGATTTTTATATTGAGATATTCATGAATAGTTTCCACCACAACAAATAAGACTGAGAAATCAATTAATCAGTAAGGAAATTAATTATTAAAATAATCAATAATAAAGATACACCCACTTGAGTAGAAAGACACTGTTCTAGGAAGAGTAAACACCTCATTTTTGTTTAATGCTTAGAGGAAATCAGCCCTTTTGAAGAGGCAGGATTCCTACAAGAAGAAAAGCAGAGTACAAAGGATCATGGACAAGTCATGAGAGTGGCCCTGGGAAAAGGAATAGCTTGATTTGCAGAATAACAATGTGATGGTTACTTTATTGTCTTTAGCCTCTATTATAATACAGACTGATACTAAGTAGATATTAAGATAGTGAATAGCTCAGAGATTCAGGAGATGATTCTGGCCTGTAAAATTATTATCAATTGTTATCAATTATTGATAATTATTGATATCAATTATCACCAACAGGAAGCAAGGTACAGCTGTCCAGGTCATGAAGCTCTCCAAAGGAGAATACTGGTTAAAGTGGTCTAGAATTTTGAATCAGTCAAAATTTTGGACAAGGTCTCCTGCATGTATAGGTCTTCTATTTGAGGCAAAGAGGGGGCAATGTTAGGCAGGGGCCATTTGCCAGGGGGAGAAGAAATGGGATTCAGTCAATGAGGGTACCAGAATTTTTATACCTGAAATTTTTGTAAATTAATTATTTTAATAGTCTAGAAACTATTTAGAAGCATTTCATAATTTTTTGGTGCATTTCTTCTTTCCTATAATTTTGAATAAATTGAGAACATCAGTTCCTTTATTTTCTTACATGAAAGTGTGTAAAAGAAAAGAAATGGGTCGATCAACACTTTAGCCAGTGGTTTACTGATGAGCACTGAGCCCTTTATAGGCCATTGTCTGCCAAGTGAAAGTATAATAGACTGCAAATAAAAGTTCCCAGAACCTTGTAGCAAAACAATTCATTCTTAAATTGGCAGGATTTGATACAACTCCATATAATCAATCCATTGTGTTTTTCCTATTGATATCTCTTTTGTTTTGACCCTGCCTCAGCTTTTATATCTTGCCTCTTCTAACTCCTACCTATTATTTTGTCTCCTAACTTTAGTGCATTATTTTATCCCCCTTGGTTTGCCGTTGCTCAGTTCACTGCAAAAGCTCTAGCTTAGCTTCTTTAATATCTCCTCTGAGACTGTCATGGCTCTCCTGAGATTTGCGTGCTTCACATCCAGGGTGCTGTATATGATGCTGGCTCTGGTCCTCGGTTAATACCCAAACCCACTGAGAGAGCAAAATGGGAGCACAGTGAATCCTTTGTATGTGGGGAGTTCTTTCCCCATCTTCCACATTGTAGGTAACACTCCTAAGTGCCAAGTCCTGAGTGTAAAGTCATCCAGGGTGGCTGTAATAGCTGGGGTGCATCCTAGGCAGAATGTAGAGAGATTCTATCTTGATGCTTTTTGAATCTCATTTTTCTCCATCTCTCTCTTTACTCTTTTAACCTGAGACTCAGAGATATTTTCTATAAAATGGAAATAAGAATCACCCCATAGGATTGCATGAGAAAATAAAGATTCCATAAATCTTATAAGGATTTGTCTTATGGTCCTAATCAAATTGAAAGACAGTAATCTCTTAGTGCTCATCTTAGCTCAGACCAGTGCTTAGGAATATATCTAAACGCCATGGATATTACTAACTAACCAATAGATATATTTATTCAATCTAGTGGACCTAATGCGATGTCTATGTGATTGATTACCCTAAATTGCATTATGTATTACTCTAACAAGCTGATTTGTTTTTGTTGTTATTGTTATAGTACTTGATAACATTTATCATTGTTGTTGTACTGGTTTGATTTGCATATACTAGTGCAAACATACTAGTTTCTTCTTTTATATCTACAATTGTTGGCATCTGAAAAACCATTCACTACTAGCAAAAAGCTGACGTCATAAGTGAATTTAGTTCAATATTCTAAAGCATTTTCCAGGGAGCAGGCAACTTCCATTGCAAAAATACTGTGTTCATATAGATAAGAAAGAGTTGTTTTATTAAAGAACCAAAGTCTTTATTCGTTTGATAAGCATGGCCTTAAGAGATATGATCCCAAATACAATGGTTTTCAGCTTGCATTCCTACCCAAGAGCCCTTCAGCAAAGTTGTGTTATACAGGATTGCAGTGATGCATGAATGGCTGAGAATTAGAAAAGAAATGGAATTTTGATTTCAAGGCAGTCTCCTTTTTAGAATTCAGAATTACTTTGAAGCTTTCCCTGCCTCTCCTGATTTTCACCTGAAGTCACGGAAATAAAATTTAGCTTACTTGATTTCCATGAAATATCTTGAAACTTACATTTTTTTCTAAAGTAAACAATACCTAAAGTTTACACTATTATATGTCAGGTTTAAGTCAGCACTTCATAAGGCATTTTACAAGTCATTGTTAATCACTGTGGTATCACATATTCATAACTTCTGAAGTTGTAGCTTATTAGAAAGATTACTTTTATTTTCTTTTATCACAAGAATCATTTTTCTCCTCACTTAGTGAGATGTCAAAAACAGAAAAGTGGCATCAGAAAGTGTTAATATGGGTTACTCTAACCAGAATTGATCAGAATGTTAATCTACCAGGATTCTAATGTATCACAGAAATAAATCACAGAGCAGCCATTCCACATCTCCATGGCAATTTCTCACAAAAATCGTAAAATATAAATTAGTCTGTCTCCCTCTGTTAACAACAGAAGAGAAATGTACAAATAAATTTAAAACAATGGTAAAAATCACATCCACAAACACAAAATCACCTGGCTTAATCCATTTCCGCAGAGTGTGATTTTCTGCACACACGATGCAGATTCTGTTGTTGGTAGTTGCAAGCAGCTGATATTTAGATTTTGAATATTGCATGACATATAATGTTGACCTGGAATTAGAGATTTGTTTACTTTTCTAAAATTTTAACCCTTTAATATGTCTCCCATGAATGTATCTTGTTCTAACAATTTCAGAAAAGATCTAGAATTATTGAAAATTAGAAAATTTTTTGCCAACATAAAAATCAGAAAAATAATTTCAACATATATAAAATCTGACTTCTTAATTATATCTATATATATTCCTCTGTTTTCATGGGAGTACATAATTAATGCTACATACTTAGGAATATTGCTTGTATGTAGATACTGATGATTGTCAACCAAACATGCCCACTCTTCTCCATCTCAATGAAACCCTAATTTTCTTCATGTATTGGCTCTTCCTAAGGAGCTTTGGGTTTTAGGATTTAAATTCTCTTAACTTACCACAGTAGTCAAGTTTGCTTTTCCAGTGATTGATTTAGGCATAGGGATGCCACGACATTTAGATGTGAGGATAAGTTTTCTGGGAGTTTCTTTGAAAGGTCTGTGCACTGACAAGTAGCACATAAGAGATACTCAGAGAGAGTAAGTTTCCCTTATTCCACCCTATATTATTATGTCTCTATGTGATCCCTGGCACTATGATGGACACTTAATATTATTATTATTACTATTATTATTAAGGGAAATAGCATGAGGATAGCAGAGCTGTAAGTTGAAGAAATCAGACAAGCATTCAGATGATTTGCATAAAATAATAAAGTGAGCCTTGTAGCTCAATCAAATCCTAGCAGCCTAGAGCAAGATGTTAGAAAGCTGTGAAAAAGAAAACAGAATTATGAATACTCGTGCTTTAAATGTAGAATGTATTTAGCAATTTTAAATGCTTACAGATATGTCATTGAATATTATCTTTCTTATAATTCTAAAATTGACATATTTTTCTACCATTCCATTGGTAGGATACTGAAATTCTGAAGTCTTATATAAATTTGTAAGGCCTTTTTAAGGCCTTAAAAATTGGAAGCATGGTCTCAAGGCTGGAGGCCAGGATTTCAGACTCTGAAGGTGACGCTTTTTCTACTTCTGTATGGTGAGTCATCCTCAGATTAAATAAAATGATTCAGCTTGACGTTATTGGTTATTAATAAATATATTGCCATGTCTTAGAACCAAAGAGGTACATATGACAAATAAAAAAGAAGAAAATGTTATTCCATATTTTGTCCTAGGGAAATTCTTTGGTCAAGATAGCCACATCTTTCACATGTAATTTAACCAGTTAAATAAGCATTCCCAATACATTGCATTGTTTCTTTCTTGATTCAGTCATCCTTTCCCTTTTAATGGTCAATCTTTCCAGATTCATTTCTCATTATACTCTTCCATACCTTCTTATATTATGTCTTCCTTATTTAGTATTTAAATTGTATTTTCAAACATTCAGTATTCCTTCTTCTCTATCCATCTTAGTTTTTAAGTATAATTAGTTCAGCTACTTTGTAAGCCATTTTCTGTGGGATATCTGGTATGTACATCTCTGAGTGTGGTTTACTCAGACAAGTCTATTCTATTTTAATAAGAAACACTCCTGCCTAGCTTTGATTCACTATTTGCCTCTGGCTATACAACACACAGACTTCACATTCCTTTTGTCATTCAAGGAAGACATAGACAGGTAAACACTGGGGATTGCTTTTGAGTAACTTAACATTCTTGTCCTATTAGTATGCCATAAGAAGGGCTTTGTAGCACGTCCTGTGATGAGAAGTAATCACATGGTTCAGTCAGCTTTTGCTTACAGGCCAGGTGAGAATCCTCTCTCTAGAAAGTCACACAAATAGTGCTTTAAGTATAAATTAACGTTTAGTAAAAAAAAAAAAAAAATCAAATGAATCTCTTCTAGAAAGATGATGGTGGTATAAGAGTGAGCTGCAAATATTCCCTAACCCCCAAATCTTTCCTTCCTTATCCTGTAAATCAGCCTTATCAGTTTGTTACTCATGGTCAAACTGATAAGGCTGATTTACAGGAGAGAGAAGGACAATTTTAACTTAATTCAATAATTGCAATTTCAACTACTGTCATTTACACACCTCCATCAGGGTTTGCTTTTGAACCTCATTTTCCTAATATCCACTCAATTTCCTCCCATCTAAATTCAATTCTTACCTTTACAGGCTTCTACTGCACCTATTATCAGAAATAAGAGAGTTTTATCTGCTTATGTCAGGGTCGAGGGCATGTTGGAGGAAATGGAATGTTTTATGTCTGCTTCCTTTCTATCTTTCTGTCAATGAAAATTCTGGGAGCCCACACCTAATCCGTTTCCATGTATTACTGGAAACCAGTCACCTATGCCTTGGCCAGTAGCTAATTCCCTAAGCCTGCTCAGCAATGAGGGCAGTTTGGGTTTATCTAATGCATATGGTGATGGTGGCTTTTCCACCTCACCTGAACATGTACTCTGTGGTTTCTGAAGTAAGAAATTCTAGAGGAACATAGTAATGACCATCTCCTGTTCTACTGAGTTGTTGACTTCAGAACTTCTCAATTGGGTCCCTTCACTTGTTAAGTAGTCCTTTACTGGGAGGGGTGACGGCTGTCATGACATTTTCCTAAGCTCCTATTGTCTGCAGATTTTTATAGACCCACAAGGAATAAGATATCCTATCTCAGAAACTTTGGCTCTTTGGAAAGAGTTTATGCTTTTTCCAATCTAATAAGTGCTGCCTCCATCCCATGGTTCTTTACTTAATAGGTAGGGGTACCAAGGTCTGTCTGCGTCTCCTAACACTCCGTTAACTCTAGCTACGGGCAAGAGGCTAATTTCTCCTATTTCTAGCCTGACCAATGGACCAATGCTACCTGGACTTAGGAGATTTCCAGGATGTGGGACTTTCAGTGCTAAAATTGGGACCCTCCCAGACAACTAAGTCCACATTGCTCATCCTACATAGCTTAATTCATCCTCAAACTTCCTGGAAAGATACAAGCAGCTGGACAAGGCAATTAAAGCTGTATAGAAGTTTCTCCCAAATACTTTTTGACAAAAGCACATTTTTTTTCCTTCCAATTTACTTTAACATATCTCATGGCAAAGTCTACAAAATCACGACAGGGATCTTGAGACGGAGTGGGGATGGAGGAGCCAGAAGGGTGGGGTGAGGTGGAATCTGCACCAAGAATAATTTAAAAGCTAAAGAAGTGCCTCTTTTTACTTCCAGGTGTGCATTCTCTGTTGCAATACAACACTTTAACCTTTGGGAGAGTCGGAAGATAACAAAGAAAATCCTAACTTTATTTTACTTAATCAACTTTCACTTTTAGTTTTCTGGTCTCCCAAATAAAATCATATTTAGGGTACAGTCAACTCTTTATTCTTTATTGTTGCTGTTAAATTTTGCTTTGTTTTATTTGTCAAATCCAACTTATGAACATATTTTTTTCAACCATAAGTATCCACCCAGAACACATTTTATCAGGAGCCTCATCTCTGAATGCGAAGTATAGCACATTACAGAAAAAGTCCCTTCCCATGCAAACAACAATTTATTCTCTCTCATTTTTTCTTCCCACATCGTGCCTCTTTTCCCTTTGCCATAAACAAATTTTGCTGCTCCCATTCATCCATCACAAACCTTTTTATATGTTTCTCCCCACCGTGGCCTTGCTTATCAGTCTCTTAGGACACTTTCTGATATGTGGTCTGTTTGTAACTGAAACATATTTATTTTGGTGCCTGCAATTGCCAGTACATGTCCGTAAATTGTAATTTTAAGTATATTTCACAGGGGCAATTGATGTTTTATTTAACCTAGGCAAGACAGATACCTGCTTTGTTATTGAACAGCACTAGGCTGCAGACAAGTCTCTTTGGATGGTGTTATCTCTTCTCTCTTATTTTTCATCCTTTTAACTACCTCATTCCTGCACATGGAATATCATATAGGATTTTTTGCAAATAAAGAAAGCAGAAATTTTTCAAGTAACAGGGGTGGGGGGAAATATTGGATCTATCAAGGTCTTTCTTTATACCTCTCAGATTACCCCAAACAGCAACTCTCTATTTTCACTGTATATGAGGAAAGTAATATGTTAACAGCATATTGAGAAACCAAGAATTAAAGAAAGGAAAAAGGAATGGAGTGGGGAGTTAAGATTTAAGGGACACTGACAGAGTCAGTACCTGGCTGGTTAATCTGAAATATCCTCTTCTTCCAAAGGCATTTTGCATGAATTAGGGTGCCTTTTAAAATTCTCTTTTCTTCCTTGCTTGAAGCCAAAGGGATTCAGTCTATTTTCTTTTGCATTATAACATTGCTATTAAGCATATCAGTCCTGGGTACAGAGAAAAATAATTTGCTTAGTTTTCCCCTTTTGTTACTAAGCATAAGAATGCAACTGCTTTTGCTGTTCTTAAGTCTTTATGATACTTACTGCGTGGATATAACGGTAAAAAGGTAACAAACTTTTGGAAGTTATAAAGATCTAGGAATGTCCACAACTTCTCTCAGACATGGCTGTGGGTAAAATCAGTGTCTGCCCCATTCTTCTCATCTCAACTTGTTTTGTGGAGAAAGGGGAATGTATTATCTGTCAACCATTTAGTTCTTCAACAATGTTGATTTGCTTTTATTTTCAATCACATATTATGATGTTTCACATGGCAATATTATATCTATGTTATCTCCTTTAACTATTATATCATTTCCTAGTCCCCTAGGCCTGAAAACTACCTTATTCTTCAAGAATCACCTTACTTTCCAGCTTTTCGCACCCAAAGTCAGCCGAAGCGTTTCCTGTGTGTGCACTGTAGCACCTCATAGTTGTTGCTATTCTGACTTTATTCGGCATTATATCTCCACTAAACTGGGTTCTCTTTGATGGCAGTGTCGCTAGTGTTGTTATTCTGGTATCTCAAGGCCTCTCTTCACTTGAATCTATCACAATATTTTAGAATATTTAGTTGCTGAAAATGATGTTTAGGTGAACTCAGTCCTACAACTATGAATCATATCTTTTGTTTTAGCTACCATAGTAGACCTCTGAAAAATTAAAGATTAAAACTGTGTCCTGTTTCTTAGGAGAAAATGTTAGATTTGATTAGTTTGAAAAAAGAGACTCGAGAATGATTATAAATCAGAGACAAGTATTATTTAAAGGAAATTGGTAACCTGTCTATGGAAACCCAGGGAGCAAAAGGCAGACTTAGCTAACGAACTGGCAACTATGTAAAACATACTTGGTTGCACATGATAGCATTTCTGGAGGAATTAAAGTGTGGCATAGAAGGTGTTAACCAAAACCTGGTCTCAGAAAATTGTAGGACATTTTCAAGACCCCTATGCAATTAGACATTTCTACGATTGGAGGATATGAGAAGGAACTTTAAAGGGGCAATGGATGAATCTTCATAGAATACTGGGGTCAATATTTTCTTTCCCTGGAAAATGGGAAAATAGGCACAGGAGAGTTATTAAGATAAGATATTGTATATTAATAATTTTTAAATGAGGGCAAGGATCGAGGAGATTTCCTCTTTAAAAAGATGATAGTTGGTGGTGTTTTAAAAGATGTCCTAGAATTGAGATTTCTTTAATGAAAATCATGTGTGAAGTCATTGGGACAAGCTATGCTCTGGCATTTAAAGTGAAAAGCCACATGGGGAATAGAGACCGGCAGATCCCAAAGACTTTCTCGTAATGAAGTTAGGCGTTCTTTGTGACTGATGAGATAAAGAAAGAACCGAATCATTGGTAAGAACATTGAGATCTCTAAGTTAGTTGGAAGGAAAGTGTATTTGTTTGCTAGGGCTTGCATAACAGCATACACACACCGACTGGATGGCTTAAACAATAGAAATTTATTTTTTCACTGTTCTGGAGGTTAGAAGTCCAAGATCAACATGCTGACAGTTCAGTAAAGAAAATGGGAACAAAAAATGGGCAAAGTGATTTGGTAAGATCACACACATTGGTGGGAAAATTGACATTTTAACTTCCACCTCCTTATTCCTAATATCAGGCTAGATTCAATTATTATATGAAACAGCATTAGGTTAGTAATACATGTGTCCAGTTGTGTTTATTATCATCTACTTCTGAGGTAGAGAACTTTTCCAATATGTTGTGATTGAAAGCTCTGTTCATTGCACAAACTGGGTAAAGCCAATTGTGTTGTGGAAATAAGGTCTCCTCACAGAAGAGAGCTGTATTAGTTACCTTTTATGGCAATAATATTTCAGGAAAATGCAACACCCAAAGGTGCAATAAATCATGCAAGAATCTGCAAGTCTGACTACATGGTTCTGCTGTATTTTGTGCATCCAATTTAGATCTAATCACTATGCCTCTCATTGGGGGACTAGGCTAAAGCAACTGTCACCCCTTCAAGTGCCATTGGTCAAAACTAGTCACATGGTCAAACCAGAATCAATATAATCTAACACAATGGCTCTGGCATTCACAGTGCATTGAAAAGAGCAATAATGCATTTTCTGCACTCTGAGTTTTACTGTAGTTGGCCTCAAAAGCTTCCTATATACAGCCCTGTTCTGTAAATATGGCAAAGACATTATTGTTTAAATTTAAAAAATAAAATAGAAGATATACATTTTTTTTTCTGGTCAAATTCTCTGACTTAGAAACTATAAGGAGAAAGTCTAATAAAACTTGAGGGCAATAAGTTGTATAAAACAGTCCTACTAAGGTTTGGTGAGTAGTAAGAATATGGCAGATTCCACTGATAACACATCTTGCAGAATTTGTCTTTATATGCAGTCACATGCCGGGAGCAGCTTGAAGCCAAAGCCATGTCTATAACACAATGAATGAATCATTACCGTAGTATTTTTGTGTGTGTGCAGGAAATTAAATTAAAAATAGAAGTGTTTAAACTTCTATTAAATAAGAAAACTCTCTCATAGCTCTAAATCACACCAAAAATTACTCAAAACCTTTACCCAGATACTACACAAGCTAAGAAATGGAGGGGTTGGCCTGGGCCACTGGAAGATGAAATTACATGTCTGCTCTAAGCTCATAACTTGCACTTTGGCATGTTAGAAAATAAATTTTATTAATTAGAAAAACCTCATGAGATTTTGTCAAATATATCAGATATCATATGTCTTATCCAGATATAAATTGACCACTTTAGTCTGAATATAATCCATAAAATCATTTATAACAACCAATTTTATTTATACAATGTTTGATATTTCTTAAAATCAGCAGCACCTAAAATACTGGAAAACTACCCAACTTTTAGAAATATGGCTTATTTTAGTAAGTCGAACTGAGGAGTGGAAGAAGCAAAATGATTCTTTCAAAATTGCCTTAAAATATGTTAGTAAGTTTGTTATGAGTATTGCATTCATTGTGATCTCATTTAGAGTTAATCTGAAAAAATCCAAAACAGAGTAATGTAATCTACGAAGTGTTTTGTAAGAAAATATGTCAGGTATACTATATGGTACATTTTTCCCCCTATTTACAAATAAAAACAATGGAATTTTAAATAAGAGAAACAAAGTAGACTGACTGAGACATGCACTTTTTTTTTTTTTTTTTCCACTAGATGGAGTCTCGCTTTGTTGCCCAGGCTGGAGTGCAGTGGTGCCATCTCGGCTCACTGCAAGCTCCGCCTCCCAAGTTCACACCATTCTCTTGCCTCAGCCTCCCAAGTAGCTGGGACTAGAGGCGCCCGCTACCACACCTGGCTAATTTTTTGTATTTTTAGTAGAGATGGGGTTTCACCATGTTAGCCATGATGGTCTTGATCTCCTGACCTCGTGATCCGCCCGCCTCGGCCTCCCCAAGTGCTGAGATTATAGGCGTGAGCCACCGCACCCAGCCGAGATGTGCACTTTTAAAGATGGGAATTCATTCAAATAATCCCCTAAAATATCAACCAAATAATTCTGTTATTTGATTGATTTCTTAAAATTGCCATTTGTTAGAGATTACCTGAGAGCTAATTAATTTGGTGGCTCAATTCACCAAATATCTTTATTCAGGTTAGGTTTATAGAAGGAAAATGAAGTGAAAAGCAAATTGAAAGTGTTTTTAAAAATTGAGTTGATTCCACAACCAGGAGGTACCAATGGGCAGGGATGAGTCATGGTGTTTCAAATTGAGAATTTTTAAAGAAAATATTACTATGATTAAGTGCTTATAATTAAAACTGAAGAAGGTAGAATTATTTGATAAAGAGAAAGGAGGGAGAGATAAATTTGAGTTTTAAATTAGGGCCATTTTAATGAGAAAGATGAAGTGTGGAAGGGGTCTAGTTGTATCAGCAGTAAAAAAAGAAAGCAGAAAGAGGGAAAAGATACAAAGTTGTAGGTACAGAGAGTTGGGGACTTGATGAAAAAATGCATAATCAGCAAGAATAAAAAAAAGATAATGTGAAATAAAGGTGGCAAATAGGGAAGAGAAACCAGTCCTAGGGTTTGGGGGAAGCAGAGAGGCCTTACTGTTTTCTGAGGCAACGACATGAGAATGTGGTTTTTGCCAATTCCACCTCTTCACCTGGGGTACTATTCCATTATCGCGGGAGAGTTTTGCATATTATTTTTGAGCTCTGAAATGAGGAGTAATAATTTTTGTGTAAATAAAACGACTTAAAATGCATTTTTATGTAATTCTAGATGGTGTGTATATTATACACGCATACACACACACACATATATATATAATTTCTTACACCTTAGAACTTTAAAATTCTACCAATTGTTAAAGCTAGAATAACAGTTTGCTTTACATGCAAATCCTTCCTTGGAATCTTATAATTCTGCTTGAAAGTCAATATCACAGTTACTTATTTGCCCTCAGATTTGAATACATTTTCCTCATAGAGCATACAGGATGAGAAGTTCTGCACCCTAGTCTGAATAATTTCCAGCCTCACTGAAAGATTCATATGAATAAATTGTTTTGATGGCAATACGCAATGGATCAGACTTATTTACGTTGGTGAGTGGATCACATGTAGACTCTTATTTCTTGTCAACCTGCCTGTTTCCTGGGATCTTCACAGCTGGAAGCTACTGAGCTGATCATAGCGGTCCTTAAAATGTTTGATCATGTACCAGCTGGGTGCAGTCACTCACGCCTGTAATCCCCCCATTTTGGGAGGCCCAGGCGGGCGGATTACCTGAGGTCATCAGTTTGAGATGAGATCAGCCTGGCCAACATGGTGAAACTGAGAGGTGACAACGTGCTAGCAGCCCTCGCTCGCTCTCGGCGCCTCCTCGGCCTCTGCGTCCACTCTGGCCATGCCTGAGGAGCCCTTCAGCCTGCCACTGCGCTGTAGGGGGGCCCCTCTCTGGGCTGGCCAGGCTGAAGCCGGCTCCCTCTGCTTATGGGGAGGTGTGCAGGGAGAGGCGTGGGCGGAAACCAGGGCTGTGCATGGCGCTCTCCGGCCAGAGCGAGTTCTGGGTGAGCTGGCCTCAGGGGGCCAGCGCGAGTTCCGGGTACTACCAGGGCCAGCACTTGGAGCCCCCCGCCCAGGCAGTGAGGGCTTAGCACCTGGGCCAGCAGCTGCGGAGGGTGTGCCGGGTCCCCAAGCACTGCCAACCCGCCCACACTATGCTGGAATTCTCAGGGAGCCTCAGCCGCCTCCCCTGGGGGCAGGGCTCAGGACCTGCAGCCCACCATGCCTGAGCCCCAAGCCCCCCACGGGCTACCACCGTGGCCCAAGCCTCCCCAGTAGGCATACTGCCCCCTGCTCTGTGGTGCCTGGTCCCATTGACCACCCAAGGGCTGAGGAGTGTGGGCACACAGTGCACGACTGGCAGGCAGCTTCACCACAGACCCTGGTGCAGGATCCACTAGGTGAAGCCAGCTGGGCTCTTGAGTTGGGTGGGGACTTGGAGAACTTTTATGTCCAGCTAGAGGATTGTAAATGCACCAATCTGCACCATGTGTCTAGCTCAAGGTTTGCAAATGCACCAATCAGTGCTCTGTGTCTAGCTAATCTAGTGGGGGCTTGTAGAACTTTTGTGTCTAGCTAAAGGATTGTAAATGAACCAATCAGCACTCTGTGTCTAGCTCAGGGATTGTAAATGCACCTATCAGCACTCTGCCAAAACTGACCAATCAGCTGTCTGTAAAATGGACCAATCAGCAGGATGTGGGTGGGGCCAGATAAGGGAATAAAAAGCAGGCTGCCCAAGCCAGCAGCTGGCAACCTACTGGGGTCTCCTTCCCCACTGTGGAAGCTTTATTATTTTGCTCTTTGCAATAAATCTTGCTGCTGCTCACTCTTTGGGTCCACACTGCGTTTATGAGCTGTAACACTCACTGTGAAGGTCTGCAGCTTCAGTCCTGAGGCCAGCAAGACCAGGAACCCACCAGAAGGAAGAAACTCCAAACACGTCCAAACATCATAAGAAACAAACTCCAGACACATCATCTTTAAGAACTGTAACACTCATGGCGAGTGTCCACGGCTTTATTCTTGAAGTGAGTGAGACCAAGAACCCACCAATTTCAGACACAAAACCTCATCTCTGTTAAAAATACCGAAAACTAGCTGGGCGTAGTAGAGGGCACCTGTAATACCAGGTACTTGGGAGGCTGAGGCAAGAGAATGACTTGAACCCAGGAGGCAGAGGCTGCAGCAAGCTGAGATCTCGCCGCTGCACTCCAGCGTGCGTGACAGAGCGAGACTGTCTCAAAAAAAAAATAAAGTTTTATCGTGTACCTTTGGGATCTTCAGAAGCTTTGGACAGTCTCTCCACAGAAATTTCGAAAGGCACCAGAGAACAATGCCCGAACTACAGACTAAGAGATACACTCCACATTTTAATTCAGTCCTAATACCTCTAATCCTTGTCGGTTTGTGTGGGGAGGCTTCAGTACCTTCTCAGAACCTCAGCTTTCTGAGCCTGCTTGCTGAAAATCTCCTCCCTTGGCGCTGGATTCTTATCTCCAGTTCTAGTCCCCTAGCTTGTGACATGTCATCAATAAGCAGGGCTACTTCTGACTTGTAAATACTGACATTGGCTTAATGGTTGCCTCTGAGGAACCAGCCCAACCTATGGCAGATATATATCAATTCTGCCTTGAACCTTCCTACACTTACCTCAGCACCATCTCATGCCTTATACCAGGATTTCTAAAGCTGTTGATGGTAAAAGACCTGTCCCCTCAAATTTCAACTGGGGCTATTTCATGAGGATATTAAGATGCCAGAGGTGAAATGAGTTTCCAAATATTTTTATAGCAAACTAAAGGTAAAATTAAGCTGTAAATTGTTTATCTATGACCTGTATGTATCTTTCTGGTATGTGTAAACGTTAGACAATTTTTATACTGTAATTATAGTATGAGTTGCTTGTTTAAATATAGAACAGTAAGCAACTAATAAACATTTATGAACATAAAAATTCTATTTCCAAAATTAAAGTCAATACTATAAAATTAGTGTCACTTTTTAATAGCTAGTATTGTATGTGTAATGGTGTCTCCAAGATACGTTGAAGTCCTAACCCCTGTGCATGTGAAAATAATGTCTTTGCCGATGTAATATATTAATAGTTAAGATGAGGTTTTACTGGAATAGGGTAGGACCCTCATCAAATATGGCTGTTGTCTTTATAAGAGGAGAAGAGCCACAGAGACAGACATATACAAAGGAGACTACCATGTGAAGACACAGACACATAGAGTGAAGAGACCATGTGTTGAAGGAGGCAGAAAGACAAGTTATATAACACCAGCCAAGGAATACAAAGATTGTCCACACCACTAGAGGCTAAGACAGAGCATGGTCCTGCTGATAACTGGATTTCAGACTTCCAGTCTGCAGACCTATGGAAGGATACATTTCTAATGGTGTTTTGCCATTCACTTTGTGGTTGTTTCTTAACAGCAGACATAGGAAACTCATATAGATAGCTCTGTCGGTTTAGTGCCCAGAGCAGGTCTTGTCTGCTATAGCATTTTAATCGCTGCTTTTTTTTTCCTGCAAAAATATAGAAAATTCTACTCACAAATGTAATTTTCTTTAGACAAAAATATTTCTCAAGAATGTGTTTTGGGCTAGGTGTGGTGGCTCATGCCTGTAATCCCAGCACTTTGGGAGGCCCAGGCGGGAGGATCACGAGGTCAGGAGATCGAGACCATCCTGGCTAACACAGTGAAACCCTGTATCTACTAAAAATGCAAAAAATTACCTGGGTGTGGTGGCAGGCCCCTGTAGTCCCAGCTACTCGGGAGGCTGAGGCACGAGAATGGCGTGAACCCAGGAGGCAGAGCTTGCAGTAAGCCGAGATAGCGCCACTGCACTCCAGCCTGGGTGAAAGGGTGAGACTCTGTCTCAAAAAAAAAAAAAAAAAAAGAATGTGCTTTGTATTGGCTAAAGTTTACTAATTTATTTGCTTATTTTATTACCCCATTCTGGAATTCACACTGTTCATAAAGCTTTCAACTTTTCTACAAAATGTGTCTGTGGCATTACCAGGTTTATTCTTTTCATTTTGCTTAGAGACAACCATCACTCAAAGGCAGTGGTTTTTGTTGTCGTTGGTTTCATTTAATTATTCAGCTCCTGAGGCTCTAATTTGCAAACTTAAAAGATTTAGAAAATGAAATAGTACAAGCTGAAAATTCACAAATCAATAAATTATCACTTGGTGCTCTTAAAGAAAAAGTTCTTAACAAATACATCAGAGAATAAAGTCCAGAATAGCATTGTCTATTGCTAACTGTAATGAATTTTTTATTTTTTAAAATAACAATAATCCAGAAAAGTACATTTAATTTAATTTTTTTTTTTTTTGAGACAGAGTCTCACTCTGTCACCCAGGCTGGAGTGCAATGGCGTGACCTTGGCTCACTGAAACCTCCACCTCCCGGGTTCAAGCGATTCTCCTGCCTCAGCCTCCCAAATAGCTGGAACTAGAGGCACGTGCTACCACACGTGGCTAATTTTTTGTATTTTTAGTAGAGCTAGGGTTTCACCATGTTAGCCAGGCTGGTTTCAAACTCCTGATGTTTTGCTCCACCTGCCTTGGCCTCCCAAAGTGCTGGGATTACAGGCATGAGCCACTGCGCCCAACCAATTCTATTCAGCTCTTTTGTCCATTTTTATTTTTTGCTATTGAGTTGTGTGAGTTCTTTATGTTTTTGGATATGAACCCCATATTAGGTATTTGCCTTACAAATATCTTCTCCCATTTTATATGTTGCCTTTGAATTTTGTTGATTATTCTTTTGCTATGCAGATGAATTTTAGTTTAATGTATGTGATATTAATACTGAGTGTCAACTTGATTAAATTGAAGGGTGCAAAGTATTAATCTTGGATATGTCTGTGAGGGTGTTACCAAAAAAGATTACCATTTGAGTCAGTGGGCTGGGAAAGGCAAATCCACACCTAATCTGGGTGGGCATCATCTAATCAGCTGCCAGTGCAGCCAGGATATAAAGCAGGCAGAAAAAAATGTGAACAGGCTAGATGGGCTTAGCCTCCCAGCCTACATCTTTCTCCCATACCAGATGCTTCGTGCCCTTGAACATTGGTCTCCAAGTTCTTCAGCTTTGGGACTCAGACATGCTTCCTTGCTCCTCAACTTACAGAAGGCCTATTGTGGGATCTTGTGATTTTGTGAGTTAATACTCCTTAATAAACTCCCCTTTATATATGTGTGTGTGTGTGTGTGTGTGTGTGTGTGTGTATATATATACATATATATGTAAATGATACACATATATGTAAATGATACACATATATAAATGATACACATATATATGTAAATGATACACATATATGTAAATGATACACATATATATGTAAATGATACACATATATATGTAAAAGATACATATATAGGTAAATGATACATATATGTAAATGATACATATATATGTAAATGATATATATGTAAATGATACATATATATAGCCTCTTAGTTCTGTCCTTCTAGATAACCCTGACTAATACAATGTAGTACCACTTGTTTATTTTTGTATTTGTTGCCTGTGCTTGTGATGTCATATACAAAAAGGCATTACCAAGACCAATGTCAGCTTTCTCTAAGTTTTCTTCTAGGAGTTTTATGGTTTTACATCAGACATTTAAGTATTTAATCCATTTTGAGTTGACTTTTATATATAGTATAAAATAGGAGTTCAATTTTATTCTTTTGCAAGTGTATATCCAGTTTTCTAAGTTTCCTAATCTATTGATGAGACTTTCCCTTCACCATTGGGTATTCTTGGTGCTCTTGTCAAAGATTAATTGACTATATATGTATGGGTTTAATTCTGGGCTCTACATTCTGTTCCATTGGTCTATGTTTCTGATTTTATGTCAGTACCATACTGCTTTGATTGATATAGCTCTGTAATATAGTTTGCAAATAACATTATCTTATATATAGAAAATCTTAAAGACTCTGGAAAAATAACCCCATTAGAACTTGTAAACTAATTCAGTAAACTTGCAAGATACAAAATTTAAAAAAAGTTGCATTTTTTTTTTTTTTTTTTGAGAAGGAGTCTTGCTCTGTCGCCCAGGCTGGAGTGCAGTGGCGTGATCTTGGCTCACTGCAAGCTCCGCCTCCAGGGTTCATGCCTTTCTCCTGCCTCAGCCTCCCGAGTAGCTGGGACTACAGGCACCCACCACCATGCCCAGCTATTTTTTTCTATTTTTTAGTAGAGACAGGGCTTCACTGTGTCAGCCAGGATGGTCTTAATCTCCTGACCTCCTGATCCACCCGCCTCAGCCTCCCAAAGTGCTGGGATTACAGGCCTGAGCCACCGTGCCCAGCCACCTATGTTTCTTTATAAGACTTTTTAGTTTTAGCTCCTACACTTACATATTGATCTAGTTTGAGTTGATTTTTAACAGGATATTATAAAGGGTCCAATTTCATTGTTCTGCATATCAATATTGAGTTGGTCAAGCACTATTTGTTGAAAAGCCTATATATTTTTTACTATAAAATTTTCTTGGCACTGTTTTCAAACATCGATTAGTCATACATGCATAGGGTTTTTTGTATACCATAAAATTCATTTTGTTAATCTATGTTTTTGATTTCTATGCCAGTTACACATAGTGTTGATGACAATGGTTTTGTATAGTATGTTTTGAAATCAAGAAATGTGAATAGTCCAATTTTGTTCTTTTTTTAAGTGTGTTTTTACTATTCTATGTCTCCTGTATTTCCATATGAGTTTTAGTATTGGCTTGTCTATTTCTGCAAAAAAAGTCAGTTGAAAATTTGATAGAGTTCACACTGATATGTATCAGTTTCTGATGTATTGACATTTTAGTAATGATATGCCTTCTAGCCCATTAACATGAAATCATGGGATGCACTTCTATTTATTTAGAGCTTTAATTTCTTTTAACAATGTTTTTGTAACCCTCAGTGTCTATCTTGATATTTTTATTAAATTCATTTCTAAGTATTTTATTGTTGTGATATTTTTAATAAAATTGATTTCTTAATTTTATTTTAAGATGATTTTTAGTGTATAAAAGTACAATAGATCTTTGAATATTGCTGTTATATCATGCAACTTTACTGAACTTATCTACTAGCTCTAATAATCCTTTTGATTCCTTGGTATTTTCTTTATACAAAATCATGATGAATTGCAAATAAATATAATTTTATAACTTCATGTTCAATCCGATGCCTTTTACTTTATTTTATTGCCTTATTTCACTGACTAGTATCTTTAGTACAATGTTAAATAATTGTAGTGAGAGCAGACATCACTATCTTTCTGATGTTAGAAAGAATGCATTCAATCTTTCGCTATTACGTTTGCTTTTAGCTGCAGACATTTTCATAGATGACCTTAGCTAAGTTGAGGTAGTTCTCTTCTATTTCTAGTTCATTTGTGAGTGTTTGCTTATTATGAAAGGGTACTGATTGTGTCAAATATTTTTCTGCCTTTAATGAAATAATCGTGTTATTTTTCTCTTCCAGTGTATTAATTTGTTGTATTATATTGATTGATTTCAGTATGTTGAATCAACCTATATGTTGAATTTGTGGGCTAAATCCCACTTTACCTTGATATATAATCCCTTTAATATATGTTGAATTCAGTAATTCCAATGTCTAGGCTTCCTTAGGAATGGTGTCTGTCAAGATTTTTTTAAACCATTTTAGTAGGTAATACTTTCTAGTTTCCTTGAGTCTTTTCTAATTTTTCATAGAGAACTGAGCATTTTTAGTGCTATAATATGGTAATTTTGGAAATCTGATTCTCAAAATCATCAAGGATTGTTGACTTGGCTTGTATAGGGCTGGAAATACCCATTTATAACTTTTCCAAATTATTTATTTTGAAGTGTGTATACCTTGTATGTGGTCACTTAGTTTCTGGACCCTTTTGTCTGGGTTCAGATAGCGACTTAACAAAAGTTTTTCTAAATGTCTGGCTCCAAAAGGGGGTGAGGGAGAAGGATTCTGTCTTTGTAAATGTCTTAATAGATGCCACCAGAGGAAATCATTACAATTCAGAGGGCTAAATGTAAGGAAAGTTTCTGTGCCATTCTTTTAGGGGACCACCAGAACAACTTGAGATAACCTCAAATTTTTGGAGCACAAGGTCTACCATCTCTGTTTGGCACCAGTCAGCCACCCCAGAAATGCCAGCTGCTCTCCCCAAAACAGTAGTCTCTCCCTTCATCAATAAATCCCCAGCTATTATATCTGACCCATCATATTCCAGAATTTCAGCATAGTTTATTCCAATTGTTTCTTTTAGTTCAGTGGTTGCTTAGCTGGAGAAACCATTCCATGAATCTTCCTGCTCTGCCATTTTCACTCCTTTTTGTTTGTTTGTTTGTTTTTTTAGTGGATTATTTAGGAAGCTTAAAAGACCATTTTGGCTCATGGTTCTACAAGCCATACAGGAAGAATGATGCTGGCATCTGTTTCTGGTATGGGTCTCAGGAAGCTTATAAACATGGGAGAAGGTGAAGAGGGAGCAAGCATGTCACATAGCAAGAAAGGAAGCAATAGAGAGAAGGGGATGTCCCAGAGTCTTTTAAATAACCAAATTTCACATGAACAGAATGAGAACTCACTCATCACCAATGGGATGGCACCAAGCCATTCATCAGGGATCTGCCCCCATGATTATCTCCCACCAGTCCCCGCCTCCAGCATTAGGCATCACATTTCAATGTGAGATTTAAAGGGGCAAATATGCAAATTTTATCAACCTTTTTGCAGATTATATCAGCAATTTTACTGTCACATTTTAATATATATTTTTACATGCTTAGCAACTACTTTCTAAGAGTGTGTATATATGTGTAGATGGCTATAACATTATCCTATAGTTTAAATGTAACCCATATTTATCTTGCTTTTTAAAAACATCTCATTGCCATCGTAGACAGTTTTTAGGACTCCAAATATCAGGGTCCCTTCTATGTCTTATGAAAACAACAGCACATGGTAAAGAGTGAAGCAAAGGTCTTTGTCTCATCATTCCAATGTTTCCAAAGTTTTTCAGGGAAAGTGTCCCAGCATAATGTTTCTGAAAGTTAATATGATAGTCATAGTGAACTAGAATATATTACCAAAACAACCAACTACTAAGTTTCAGAGGATTCACATACAACAAGTTTCTCCACCCTGTGTGGTCACTCTGGCTAAAGGAGGCTCTTTCTTGACAGCTACTATTAAAATCATTATTTCACAGTGAAGAAGAAATGGTGGACTGTGCACTGGCTCCAGAAGTTCTTCCTGGAAGCAACATACATCATTTCTATACACATTTACTTGGCCAAAGAAAGTCACGTGGACTAATATCACATCTATGAGGAAGTATAATCGTATCATGAACAGAGAAGGTGAGGAGAAATGTGGTGTTTGCAAACAATTCTAGTGACTGCTGTGGTGAAATAATTTTCTGAAGGAATTAAAAAAATTACATGTATAGGGTTTGATTAATTTAGATGGAACTGAACAAAATCCTGGAGTTTTCACTTTCAAATTCTTTTTTTTTTTTTTTGAGATGGAGTCTCGCTCTATCTCCCAGGCTGGAGTACAGTGGTGCGATCTCGGCTCACTGCAAGCTCTGCCTCCAGAGTTCATGCCATTCTCCTGCCTCAGCCTCCCAAGTAGCTGGGACTACAGGCACACGCCACCATGACCAGCTAATTTTTTATATTTTTAGTAGAGACTAGGTTTCACTGTGTTAGCCAGGATGGTCTCAATCTCCTGACCTCGTGATCCGCCCGCCTCGGCCTCCCATAGAGCTGGGATTACAGATGTGAGTCACTGCGCCCGGCCTCACTTTCAAATTCTTATATAAAACTTTGAGTTTCTATTTGCATGATCTCAATTAACTTTCCCAATTACCTTGTGGCATCATAAAGAAATTTATAAAAATTCGAGGTCGAGGCAGGCAGATAACTTGAGGTCAGGAGTTCAAGACCAGCTTGGCCAACATGGTGAAACCCCATTTCTACAAAAAATACAAAAATTAGCCCATTGTGGTGGCACACATCTGTAATCCCGACTACACGTGAGGCTGAGGCAGGATAATCTCTTGAACCGAGGAAGCAGAGATTGCATCATGCCACTGGACTCCACAGCCTGGGTGAAACAGTAAGTGAGTCTTCATCGCAAAAAAAAAAAAAAGAAATTTATAAAAATTTGCTCCCTCTGGATACTATCACATAATTGGTTATTATTATCCTTATAAATAAGAGCACAAAGTCGTCATGAGCTGGGAGCCTGAGCTAATAAAAAGCATTTGGCTTCAATTAACCCCCACACCCAAAAAATAACATATCCCTTTTAAGAAGAACCTTGAAAAAAGGGACAAAACAAATAAACTAGTAAACATACTAGTCTATTGATTTTCTAATTTATAATGTAATATTGTTTAATGTTTTTCAAACTCATGGCTCTAAATATCATATGTGATGATAGCAAAAATAATTAAATATTGTCAGCAGTAATAGATACTTTTATTTTTAGACCTGGGAAGATTTTGGGAATCTGATTTTGTAAAGCTCCACAAAGTCGATACAGTTGCACCAATGGCACATTAAAAACTGGATTAGTGGATAACAATATTAATATTATTTTTAAATATAGTCAAACCTTGCCTTCAACTTAGCTTTTGCACTTAGTAGCCACTTGACCTTGAGGAAACTACTTACGCTTAGGGCATCAATATCCTCATCTCTGTCTCTATATATAATGTGAACCTCTATCAATTAACAGAGAATCAAAATATGTACCAACTATACATAATTGTGAGTCAAAGATGAAGAACCCAACATGAATAACACAAAAGACAAAAACTAGCTTTGATTCAAATTATTTAATTGCCCTATTTCCCTAAAATCCATTAAAACAACAGATTATTTTCAAATTATAAACTTTTACTAATATAAAACAAATTAGTTTGAAAACCAGATATTTGGAAGATTTCTGAAATGTAAACTTAAGCAAAACCAGTACAAAAAGACTTCAGAAGTGATGTTGCAAAAGAGTCTAAAACTTTTAGTCTTTGAAATTACTGAACACTCTTTTTCAAGGATTAGCATTTAATATTTAATTACTATAGAATAGCTAGGCTAGACAAATTTTCCTTACACCTCCCCTTCAACCTCCAGTAAGTAAAGATAGATAGACAGTGGCTAGTTTAATGTTTGCACCAAGATTAAAACCATAAAATCGGCCAGGTGCAGTGGTTCATGCCTGTGATCCCAGCACTTTGAGAGGCCGAAGTGGGCAGATCACCTGAGGTCAGGGGTTCAAAACCAGCCTGACCAACGTGGAGAAACCCCGTCTCTACTAAAAACACAAAAAATTAGCTGGGCGTGGTGGTGCTTGCCTGTAATCCCAGCTACTCAGGAGGCTGAGGCAGGAGAATCGCTTGAATCCAGGAGACGGAGGTTGCGGTGAGCCGAGATCATGCCATTGCACTTCAGCCTGGGCAACAAGAGCAAAACTCCATCTCAAAACAAAAAACAAACAAACAAACAAAAACATAAAATCGTTCTTTATTGAGGAGGAATTTTCACATTGGGCATTAGGCTCTAATAGTCTTTCTCAGATGTACACTAATTGCAAAATGATGAATGCCCTTTTCAGGCACTGGATGCATTTTTTAAAATTGTAAAGCCAAATAGATAAAGATTAAATTAAAAAGTACAAAGCTCTTTCTAGCAATGGCTACATTGACATGAACTTCCCAGTCTACCTACCTATTCCCTACCTTATGCTACACAAAGAAATATTTTATTGGTGAGATCACATCTTGACATAGTCATTTCTTCCCATTTAAGTGATAGGCTTATACAGAAAAGTGACTTACATAATTCATGTAACTATGCTAATAAACACATAATAAACATAATTCTTCATTTTGAAATATTAGCACAAGCAATCATCATGATTGTTTTAGATAGTCAACATGAAAAATGGAAAAGATCTGAATCAGAAATAAAAAAGCATAATGTAAGGTATATATAAGAACCTAAGAATATAAATTAAAATTCTGAAAGCTATATGTTGATGTAGATGTATGTGGCTTCTGTAAATCAAAGGAAATATGTAGAGCTCATCCACCCCTTCCACCATGTGAGCTTACAATGAGAAGATGAATGTCTATAAGGAAGCAAGCTCCCACCAGACACAGAATCTGCCGGTGACTTGATCTTGAACTGCTGGTCTTCCAAAGCAGTGAGAAACAAACGTCTGTTGTTTATAAGCCACCCAGTTTATGGTATTTTGTTGTGTGAGTTTGAATGGACTAAGATGGCCATTATACTGTATAAATTAAGAAAGAAACATTAAGAGTACATTCTGTATGAATCCATTTATATGAAATTCAAAAACTTTTTTTAAAGGCTAATAGATGCTGACAGAGCCAAAACAAGTTGTTTTGTGTGCTTCAGGGGTGAAAGTGCAGAGTGCTGATCATGAAGAAGCATGAGGGAAATTTTAGGAGTGTTAAAAATGTTTATATCTTGATAAAGATATATCTTGATCAAGTTTCTATCTTGATCAAGGTGTTTTTTCATAAAAGCACCTTATAGATGCATCTTGTGTCTGTAGATAAAAAATATATCAAGTGAAATATCTAAGACTAACATGCTTAATATACATGATTGTATGTATGTTATGCCACAACAAATAAAATTAAAAATCTACATTTTTTAAGAGTGTGATAATTTGGGTTCCACAGAAGCAGACAGTGAAATAAAAATCAAAATAAAGGTAGCTTATTTAAGATACATTCAGAATAAATGAAAAAATAAATAAGAAAATTTGACAAAGGGAAGTAAGGAGGCCAAACAAAAAATAAAGTACCAAGCAAATCACACCTGCATTCGCTGTGACTCTATCCTGCAAAGAAGCTCTGGATATAGAGTAGATAATCTTTTAGAAGTGTTCAAATAGGGATCAAGGAAGCAGAAGAAATTGTACTCCTATGCCTGTCAGTTATTGATTGGGAAATTTAAATTCTCATACACTTTTGGCTTTCCATTTCTGCTATTAAAAAAAAAAGATCTATCAGCCTGGTGGCAATCTGCCAACAGAAGGAAAAGCAGGGGCTTATTCTTGAGAGGGGAAAAAATAAAAAGATGTGAAAGAAAATGGTGAAAGGAAGGAACAAAGAAGGGAAGACCAGAACCCTAACAGCATTGTCAGCTATAGATAGGTGGATATAGCCATTGGTAGACACCCATATATAAATATAATTAAAATGCTTGAAATAAATAAGAATGTAATTACTTGTAAATAAAAGATTCTCCAAAAGAAAACAGCTGGGCGCGGTGGCTCACACCTGTAATTCCTGCCCTTTGAGAGGCTGAGACGGGCAGATCACGAGGTCAGGAGTTCGAGACCAGCCTGACCAACATGGTGAAACCCCGTCTCTACTAAAAATACAAAAATTAGCCCAGCGTGGTGGCGGGCACCTGTGATCCCAGCTACTAGGGAGGCTGAGGAAGAAAAATCGCTTGATTCCAGGAGGCGGAGGTTGCGGTGAGCAGAGATCACGTCACTGCACTCCAGCCTGGGTGACAGAGCAAGACTTCATCCCCCCCCCAAAAAAAAGGAAAATAGACAATGATTATAAATAAGAAATTGATAAAATTACAAAATTTAAAGTGTTAAATACCTAATATGAAGTAGGTTGGGGATAACGCAGATACTGCTGCAGGAGGCACATGATGAAAGCAATCTGAATAATAATTTTCCAGAATCTATCAAAAGCGTAATATTTTAGAAGCCTAAATAATGTTTATAACTTAAGCAAATTGACTTCAGCATTACAAAGGTATGAATTAAGAAACAATAGAAGATACAGGTACTTTCACAATAGTGAAGAAATGGACAATGGATTAAAATACTAAAAATTATGGCCATGAGAGTTCTCCAATCTTGTTTTTTTTTTTTTCAAGACTGTCTTGGATACTTTGGGTCCTTCACAATTCCATATGAATTTCAGGATTGGCTTTGCCATTTCTGCAAAGAAGGCCACTGGGATGTTGGTCAAGATTTCCCTGAATCTGTATAAAAATTTGAGGATTACCATCATTTTAATAATATCAAAATTTTCAATTCACGAGTGTAGATGTCTTTCATTTACTTAGATCTTATTTGATTTAGGAATGTTTTATAGTTTTCAGTGATTACTTTTACTGTGTGCATTTTATTCTTTTTGATGCTATTATACACTGAATTATTGTTCTTTTCTGATTTTTCATTGCTAGTGTAGGGAAATGAAACTTATTTTTGAATGTTGACCTTCTATTTTGAAATTTTGCTTAATTCATATATTAGCATTATGATTTTTCTGGGAATTTTTTAGTATTTCTATGTATAAAATTATGTCATCTGTGAACGTAGGTAATTTAACTTCTGCCTTTCCAATTTGGAAGAGTTTTATTTCTTTCCCTCAACCAATTGCTCTGGCTTGAGTTTCCAGTGCTATGTTCCATGGAAGTGGTGATAGCTTTCATCCTCCATATGGTCTTGAACTTACAAGTAAAACTTTTATTTTCATTACTAGTAAGGACGTTCTCTGTGAGTTTTTCACAAATGTCATTTCTCCTGTTAAAAAATTATTCGATTCGTTTATTGAGTGTTTTTATTCTAAAAATGTGCTAAATTTTGTCAATTTTTCCTGCATAAATTGAGATGATCATGTGAGTTTTACCCCCTTTCATTCCTTTTAATGTGATATATTACATTGATTTAATTTTGTATGTTGTACCATTCTTGCATTCTTAGGATAAATCCCATTTGATCATAATGTTTAAGTATGTTAACATGCTGCTGGATTCTGATTGCTGCTGTTTTGTTGATAATTTTTGAATCAATATTTATGGGAAGTGTTATTCTATAGTTTTCTTTTTTTGTGATGTCCTTGTGTGGCTTTGGTATTATGGTAGTGCTGGACTTATAGAATGAGCTTGAACTGTTCCTTCCTCCACATTTTTGATATTTTGAGAAGGGTTAGTGTTTCTTCTTCTTTAAATGTTTGGTAGAATTCATCAGTGAAGCCATCTGGTCTTTGGATTTTCTTGGAAAGTTTATGATTATGAATTCAATGTCTTGGAGGTCTTTTAATAGGCCTATTCGAATTTTTTTGTTTCTTTTTGATTTAGTTTGAATAGATTGTGTCTTTATAGGAATTTATCCATTTCATCTAAGTTATCTAATTTGTTGACATAAATTTATTTATAATATTACCTCATAATTCATTTTATTTCTGGACTATCAGTGGCAATGTTCCTACTTTCCATTTCTGATATTACTAGTCTTTTGTCTTTTATATTGGTCAATCGATCTGAAAGCTTATCATTTTTGTTTTTTCTTGATTCTATTGTTTTTCTATTTTCTATTTTGTTGATCTTCCTTTTAATCTTTGTTCCCTTTGTTCTGTTAGCTTTGGGCTTAGTTTGCTCTTTTTTTCTAATTAAGTCATAAAGTTAGGTTATTGATTTTATATATTTCTAACTTTCTAATGTGTTTACTGCCATATATTGCCCTCTAAGAACTGTCTTTACTAAATTTCATTATTTTTGGTGTTTCCTCCATTTTCTTTAATCTCAAAGTATTTTATAATTTTCCTATAATTTTCCTTTGATTTATTAGTCAAGAATGTTTTAATTTCTACATATTTGTGAATTTTCTATATTTCCTTCTATTACTGATTTATATTTAATTCCATTGTCATCAGAGAAGTTATGATGTATATTTAAGTCTTTTAAACTTTTTTGTGACTTGTTTTATTACCTAAAATATGGTCTATTCTGGAGAATGTTCATGGAGATCGGGTGTTTTATGCTATTGTTCCGTGGAGTGCCATACATGTGGCTGCTAGTCTAGTTGATTTATGGTGTTGTTCAAGTCCTCTATTTCCTTATTGATATTCTGCCTACTTGTTCTATTCATTGTTAAAAGTAGGGTATTAAAGAGGATAAGGTGGAGTAGGATTAGAACCCTCCAGCGATTGACTCCCAACAGGAACACCAAATTGAACAAGTATCCATGCAAGAAAACCTTCATAGGAACCAAAAAAATAAGGTGAGAGATCACAGTACCTCATTTTTTCATAGTAACAGGGAAAGAGGCATTGAAGGGAGTAAGAAGGATATAGTCTTGCATTGCCTACACTGCTCCTGCTCTACCCCCAGGCTGCTCATGGAGAGGGAATCTCAGTGCTTGGAGGAGGAAGAGCAAAAAAAATGTGGGACTTCATATTGGAACTCAGTGCTTCCTTGTCACAGTGAAATACAACATTTGGCAGAATTTTTCTGATGCCCAGGAAGGGAACATTTAGATCAGTCCTGGGCCAGAGGGAAATCCCCTATATCAGTGGGAGAAATTGAATCCTGGCTGTCTTCATCACCAGCTGACTAAAGTGGCCTGGGGTCCCAAATAAATTTGAATGGTACACAGGCCACAGAGACTGCAGTCCTTGGGCAGACTCTGGTGCTACACTGGTCTCAGAGGTAGTGGGCTTGATGTGCATCCCAGTGCAAAACAAGCTGCTATGACCACAGGAGTGCCTGCATCACCCCTTCTTCAACTACAGGCAGTGCAGACAGACTCTGTTTTGGGGGGAAAACGAGTGATGAATATTCACCACCTGCTGACTAAAGTAGCCTTGGGCCTTAAATAAACATCAGCAGAAGCAAGGCAGTAGCAGACCTGGGTCTTGAGCAAGCCCCAATACTATGCTGCTCTGAGAGGTCAAGTCTCCCAGGACGCTGGTCTCGGTCCCAGACCCGTGTTGCTCCAGGCTTCACGTGTAACTCAGTTCACTGCTAGATGTGATGGTAAAGTAAGTACCTGTGTCACATTTCCCCCAGCTCCAGGCAGCCCAGCATGGAGAGAGATTTCTACAGCTTGAAGGAAAGTGAGAGAAGGGTGCAAGAAAGTTTGTCTGGGAACCTGGGGAATTCTTCCTTAACTTCCCCAAGTCCATTAACACCGTATATCTAAGAATCTGCAAGTTTCTTGGGTTTAGGACACTTCCTTGTGCTGAAATGGCTGCAGTGACTACATGCAACGGAGTTTTGGCGTTTCCTACCCTATCATATTTATTGACATCATTATAAGCGTTATATTTTAATAGTAGTTTTTTTAATTAAAAATATAGACTGAGTGTGGTGGCCCATGCTTGTAATTTCAGCACTTTGGAAGGCCAAGGCAGGCGGATCACTTGAGTTGAGGAGTCGAGACAAGCCTGGGCAACATGGCAAAACCCTGCCTCTACAAAAAATACAAAAAGTAGCCAGGGATAGCAGTATGCATCTGTGGTCCCAGCTACTCAGGAGGCTGAGGTGGAGAGATCAGTTGAGCCCAGGAGTGGGGACAGGTTGCAGAGAGCCAAAATGGAGCCACTACACTCTAGCCTGGGCAACAGAATGTAGTAATTATTATAATTAGTACAATAATTATAATTATTATAATTATATGTATAATTATAAATTTATAATTATTACAATAATTATAATAATTTAGTCAAGACAGGGAACTTTCCATACCTCAGTCATCAGTTATGTCTGAAAAAAGGCTGAAATTTTGCATTAAATTCTTTTTTCCTAATATTCTAATTAGTTTTTTTATTTTCTCATTACTATGTTTTTTGAGGCATTGTTATGTTCTTAATTATGCTCATTAAATTTTGAATATTTAATTTCCAACAGGAACGGTACGAAATTCATGTTTCATTATAAATATTTTTTCTCTTCATAGTAAATATTTTATGAAGATTAAACAAATGTACATAATATGAAAAATTATATTTTAAGTTAAATATGTGTCTTCTATTTTATATCCCAAATCAGAATAATATAAACTTGCAGGTGAAAGATAAAAATTATTGTATGTTTTCATTACAAAGCATTCCCTATCTGCATAACTCTTCTTGTTTTATTAAAAAAGAAAAAAGATGGGGCTTTACCATATTAATCTTATCTTAGTACTATCTATAAAATTGTATAGTGCTGCTACCTTTCAACTAATAGTATCTGCAGAAGGAATCAAGCAAACAACCCTATAATCACTAAAATAACTGTCCTTATTAAAATAGTTTCTGATTTGCATTTTTCTTCCAATCAGGAACTGACTGATTTGTTTATTCATAACATAATCACCTGCTCCTTCCACAAAATATTTGAAAGCTGAATGCAATAGATTTTAATTACATTATTGTAGTAATGGTTTATTAGTGGTTTATTATAATGATTTAATATACAAAGAGATCCAGAAATGGAAGGCTTAGTGGAAGTCAAAAGGTTAATTTTCTAACAAAAAAAGTACCTCTAACTGATGAAACAAATTTTAAATTGATATAAGTGACAACCATAGGCAAAATAAAGTTCTTTGCTTGGTGAAGACCAGATTCATAGTTTGGATTCCTACCAATTGCACAACACTGCCAGTCTAAATATATGCATGCATATGACCTGAATATTCACTGAGAGATACTCTTCTAAGACTTATTTTCCTAAGTATCTCCTTCCCTAACTTCTTCCTTTCAGTACTTTTATGTCTGCCTATTACATGTTTCAATGGCTCTCCCTTACCTCAGTCATCAGCAGCTAAACATTTGCAAGTAAATGCTTTTGATGAATATCCCTGGAAATTCCTGTGTGTGTGTGTGTATGTGTGTGTGTGTCTGTGTGTGTATTTGTTGTTGTTTGGAATTTACTGCCTTTTGTGTTTTTCATTTCAGATAAGGAGACACAGGTTAAAGAGCCTGGGGTTTGAAGACCCAGAGACATGAGTTCACACTGTGACTCTGTCATATAATTCTTTAATTCTTCAAGTCCTGAATTCTTATAACTGTTTGAGTTGGATAACAATATCTTCCTGGCAGAATTGTAAATATTAAATGTAATTCATTGAAATGTATAAAACATATCTGCATAAAAAGTCACAAAGAATAGGTTATTGTTATGACAATGGAGATAATGTGCCTAATTCAGTGAGTACTTATTACTGTCAGTCTTAAAAAAACAGACTACTTTTCCCAGTAATGTATTAGATACTTTCACATTAAAAGAGGCAGGTGGAAATACCCTTGGTATGAGTTTTTTTGTTGTTGTTGTTTGTTTTTTTGTTTCTTTTTTGATGGAGTCTCACTCTATCAGCCAGGCTGGAGTCCAGTGGTGTGATCTTGGCTCACTGCAAACTCTGCCTCCCGGGTTCAAGCAATTCTCCTGCCTCAGACTCCTGAGTAGCTGGGAATACAGGCATGCACCACCATGCCCAGCTGGCTAATTTTTGTATTTTTTAATAGAGATGGGGTTTCACCATGTTGGCCACACTGGTCTTGAACCCCTGGCCTCAAGTGATCCACCTGCATTGGCCTCCCAAACTGCTGGTGAGACGTGAAGCCAGCTGGACTTCTGGGTCAAGTGGGGACTTGGAAAACTTTTCTGTCTTACAAGAGGATTGTAAAACACACCAATCAGCACTCTGTAGCTAGGATTGTAAAATGCACCAATCAGCGCTCTGTAGCTAGCAAGAGGATTGTAAAATGCACCAATCAGTGCTCTGTAAAATGCAGCAATCAGTGCTCTGTAAAATGCAGCAATCAGCACTCTGTAAAATGCACCAATCAGCAGGAGTCTGAAAATAGCCAGTCGTGGGGAGAATTGAAAAAAGGGCACTCTGATAGGACAGAAACAGAACATGGGAGGGGACAAATAAGGGAATAAAAGCTGGCCACCCCAACCACCAGTGGCAACCGGCTGGGCTCCCCTTCCATGGTGTGGAAGCTTTGTTCTTTCACTCTTCACAATAAATCTTGCTGCTGCTCACTCTTTGGGTCTGTGCCATCTTTAAGAGCTGTACCACTCATTGCGAAGGTCCGCGTCTCCCTTCCTGAAGTCAGTGAGACCATGAACCCGCCAGAAGAAACCAACTCCAGACACACTGGGATTACAGGCTTGAGCCACTTTGCCTGGCTTTGCTGTGGTTTTTTGTTTTTTCTCCCCACAATATAGTCCTCATTTGCCCAGTCATCTGGGCCTAGTCAGACAAAGCCAGCTGGGGAGGCAAATTAAAGTTGATTATATGCAAGATTTTGTGTAAAATAACTCTTCTCTTATCAACAATGTATTTTTTGTTTTGTTGTGGACATTTGTTTCTGCATTGTGTTCTGTCAGAAAAGTAACAAAAATAATTCAAAATGTTTGATTTATAAAAATGACAACTTCATATGGCTTTACCTATTTTAACTCTCAAATTATTTTCATGTTGCTTTAAGAATATTTTAGATTTATTGTTATAAATGTCCTATACTTTGTTTCATTCCTCTCACCAAATGTCTTGAATAGTGTCAGAAACTCATAGAAAGGGAAATTCTGTTTATTAAGAGTCTGTTATGTTTTAAGCATAAGAATTTATGAATATAATCTTAATATTCATGGAACCTTAGTATTTGCCTTTCAAAAATTAATTTTATTATATCACTAATCTATACTAAAGCAATTTTTAATACCCCTGAACTTCGTTACCTATTGCCAAGGGACACAGCTAGCAACCAGACTTACAAGGCACGAATAGGCATCAATATGATACCGCATTTAATTAGTTTTATGGAAGGAAAAGGAGTGGAGCTACCGTAGATAGGTTTCTGTACCATGGGAAGGTCCAGCTCTGGCCCCAGAGTTTCTTTTTTCCCTTGCCTGATGGATACGTAGGGCTTCTACAGACAGACAGATACGAACCAAGTTATGAGTGGGCCATCTTGACACAGAGCGGCTACAATCTGAGTCTGCCACCAATTATATAGACCCACAGCTTTCATGCAAATTGAATGTATTTATTCCTGGAGAGTTACACAGACTAGATATTAGAGTAGAATGGATGCAAAATTCCACATTAATTTTAAATGTAACTTTCAAGGAAAAATATAGCAAAATCATTCACAAGTAGACCAGCATTAGCCCAGGTGTAATATTAACTCTACTTGAAAACCTGTTAGACAAATTTGAAAATAAAGCACAATTTAAAAAGTGTAATCTGGGAAGCCTTCCCAGTTCCTTACTGTTGCATTTATTCCAAACCTGAACTCACCCTTTATTATTGCCTGGCAAACTCAAAGGTTCAAACTTCCTAGTTTCTCAAAGTTGTTATGCTTCTGGAATGTTAAATCAGGGTAAGGATATTTGTAAAAGACAAATATAAAAGCAGAATTTCTTTGATTATGTTGAGCAATAAGCTGCCAACAGCACAAGAGTTACAATAAAAGCGCTAGTGCATAATCTCCATGTGAAAAGCTACACTTGTTAAAAGACAAAAATCTCTGGAGAAGCTTGCAGGCATAGACTCAGGTAAAATTTGTTACATTAATTGTATATTTATTAGAATTAGACTCTAGTCGCTTTATACCTATCCCATACTTTCATGTCTTCTGTATCTGCGAGGCATGCCAAATATCATTTCTAAAAGTCATCTTATTCCAGTTCTCCGGAGAGAGTCGTATGAACTTAAAACTGGCTGCTATGCCTCTCTGTTTATTTTTTTTTAATTGTTTTAAAAAAATTTCTCACTTTTCTAAACCACCATTTTTTATTTTTTATTTTTATATATTTAGGGAGTAGAAGTACAGGTTTATCTCATGCTTATATTGTGTCATAGTGAAGTGTGGGTTTTTAGCGTACCCATCACCAAAATAATGAACATTGTAGCCAATAGATAATTTTTTTTCAATCCTCACCCACCTCCCACCTTTCCAACTTTTTGTATGGGTCCCTGTGTACCATTATTAAGCTCCCACTTATAAGTGAGAACACACCATATTTTACTTTCTGTTTCTGGATAATGGCCTCTAGTTCCATCCATGTTGCTGCAAAATACATTATATCATTCTTCTTTATGGCTGGTTAGTATTCCATGATGTGTGTGTGTGTGTGTGTGTGTGTGTGTGTGTGTGTGTGTGTACACCATATTTTCTTTATCCAATACTCCACTGATGGAGACTTAGCTGAAGGCATCACATTAGCTGACATTACCTGACTTTGAATTATGCTACAAGGATATAGTAACCAAAATAGCATGGTGCTGATATAAAAATAGATACACAGATATATGAAACAGAATAGAGAACCCAGAAATAAAGCCGCATACCTGCAACCAACTGATTTTTGAAAAAGTCAACAAATGGGGTGCAAATAGGGAAATGACACCCTATTTAATCAGTTTTGCTGGGAAAATTGTATAGTCATAAGTGAAAGGATGAAACTGGATCCATATCTCTTACCATATAAAAAAATTAACTCAAATGGATTAAGGACCTAAACCTAAGACCTGAAACTAAAACATTCCTAGAAGAAAACCTAGGGCAAATCTTTGTTGGACGTTGGCCTAGGCAAATAATTTATGACTAAGCAAATAAAACCAAAACAAAAATAGACAAACAGGACTTAAACTAAAAAGCTTCTGCACAGGAAAAGAAACGATCAACAGAGTGAAGAGACAGCCCACACAATGGGAACAAATATTTGCAAACTATGCATCTGATAAAGGGCTAATATCTAGAATCTACAAGGAATTCAACGAGAAAAAAAAACAAACAGTCCTATTAAAAATGAGCAAACGACATGAACAGACATATTTCAAAAGAAATATGGTAGCCAAGAAATGTGAAGAAAATGCTTAACATCACTAATCATCAGAGAAATGAAAGTTAAAACCACAAGGAGATACTATCCTACACCAGTTGGAATAGCTTTTATTAAGAAGTCTAAAAACAACAGGTGTTAATGAGAATGCGAGGAAAAAGGAATGCTTACACATTGTTGGTGGGAATGTACATTAGTACAACCTTTATGAAAAACAGTATGGAGTTCTCTCAAGGAACCAAAAATAGAACTACCATTCAATTCAGTAATCCCACTATTGGCTATATACTCAAAGTGAAAGAAATCATATTAAAAAGATACCTGCACTGGTATGCTTATTGTAGCAATACTCACAATAGCAAATATATTTTCTTTATTTTTAAGGCTGACCAACATGTCTCCTAAATGACAATTTATTTCTCTGTATCTGTCATCCATCCAGACAAGCTTAGTGTAGTCCTACTAGCTTTAGGCATACTGCATTTTATTTTAATTAATTAATTAATTTATTTATTTAGAGATGGAGTCTTGCTCTGTCACCCATGCTGGAGTGCAGTGGAGCAATCTCAGCTCCCTGCAACCTCCACCTCCCAGGTTCATGCCATTCTCCTGCCTCAGCCTCCAGAGTAGCTGGGACTACAGGTGCCTGCCACCACACCCAGCTAATTTTTTGTATTTTTAGTAGAGATGGGGTTTCATTGTGTTAGCCAGGATGGTCTCGATCTCCTGACCTTGTGATCCGCCCACCTCAGCCTCCCAAAGTGCTGGGATTACAGGCGTGAGCCACCATGCCTGGCCCGGGATACTGCATTTTATTAATAATTACTTGTATCTTTCATCTTAGTAATAATTATTTTACTAATATCTCTGTTATGATCAATTTATTAATAATTATGTATATCTCTGTTATGATCAGTCATGTCTTCATAGATCCCAGAAAATAGAATTACAGTCCTATTTCTGAGTTTTAATCACCACCACTATCAATGACCTACATATATTAATAGGTATGTCTGAATGAAAGGCATTGGAAAACCAACAGGTAAACTCTGCTTCTACTTTTATTTTATTTCTAAATACATGTTCCCAGTTCTTTTCCGTGTGAAAATGTGCTCCCTCTGGATTCTCATTCACTTATTTTTTTCAGAAATTGTTCAACAGAGCCGAGGAACTCTTGAGTTTACCTTAATTTTGTTTCCTAGCACATGCAGATACTGAGTGTCTAATTCTGGCTTAAACCATTGTGTCTGGAGAGGAAAGCCACCTTGAATTCACACGGCTACTAGGGTCCATTCTGGTAAGTAAACAAGTTTTCAAAAGAAAAACATTTTGGGAGATGAACAGACACTTTAGTTGTAACCACTAGTAGGACCTAAATTAAATTTTATTTCTTAAGTTTTAGCACACATCATGCTAGTCTCTGAATTTTTGAATACTGACTAAATTATACAAGACCTTTTAGCATATATCATAACAAAATTTTATCTGCAAATTTGAAAGTTATGTATCCTATAACTATTTCCTTTTTAAAATAAAAGCCTTTCAATGCTTCATCAACAAAAGAATTATTCAACTTTTCACTACAGATTAGTCTCTATGTTGTTATGGAACAATTGATTCTGTTGAGATTACATACTTGTGGGTTATTGCCATATAGAAGCATATGAACACTTATTTTAGGTTAGAAATATTATTTTTTGTCATTATGATATATTAAATGTCAATATGTATAAGCTACTTATTTAAATATCAATCTCAATTTTGCCAAGAATAACATGTGAGTTTACACTTTGCCTCAATTTATAGTGTTCTGCTTTGTAATCTTGAAAATAGTAGTATACTTGAAATAAAATATGTCTAATGTTTAAGAAAGTTCAGAAGTATTATATCAATATGTGTTTATATATTGGCCACTATATAACACCAATGAATAGGCTTGCTTTTAACCACTTCAAAATTGTCTCGTACTTTTCTATTTATTGGCACATGATATTTTATAAACTGGTGTGCTTAACAAGTGTTAAGCTCTTCTAAATAGAAACTTATTTGCTTTAAAGTCTGACTTATATTACCTAATAATTGTATTGCTTTATTCCATTGCTTTCCAGAAGTGTATATATAATTCCTTTGAATCCTAAAAATAGTTACTTGAATTAAAATAGTTTCTGCTTCATTGTCTTGTACTAACTTAACATTTTGGACCTCATGAAATAACTACATTTTAGTGCCATATATTGGAATCAGAGTATGGAACTGTGTCTGAAATGACTGGTCTTAAACCTGACCTTTAATCACTTTGTTAAGATAGGTACTGAAAGAAAATATGCTCAAGTGTCTCTTGAAGACCACTTTGATATTGCACAGGTACCACAGTTTCATCTTGTTCAATTGGACTCATACCACTGCCACCAGCCATATTTGCCTCAGACACACAAGCAAATCAATGGACTATAACTTTTGCTGTTAATTTATCAATTAAGAAAGTTGCTTTCAGGCCGGGTGCAGTGGCTCATGCCTGTAATCCCAGCACTCTGGGAGGCCGAGGCGAGAGGATCACGAGGTCAGGAGATCAAGATCATCCTGGCTAACACGGCGAAACTCCCTCTCTACTAAAAATACAAAAAATTAGCCGGGCGTGGTGGCGGGTGCCTGTAGTCCCAGCTACTCGGGAGGCTGAGGCAGGAGAATGGCGTGAACCCGGGAGGCGGAGCTTGCAGTGAGCCGAGATCGTGCCACAGCACTCCAGCCTGGGCGACAGAGCGAGACCCTGTCTCAAAAAAAAAAAAAAGAAAAGAAACAAAAGAAAGTTGCTTTTATTGAAAGTACATTTTTAACCTCTCCGTGACTGGCAAGGGGACAGTTAGAAGTTAGGAACAACAACTTATTTTTGGGGCCAATAGCAATTACTGAAAACAAGTAACCATTTAATAAATATTTATTTAAGTAATTGACCTTTTAATAAGATAGATCAGAATGTTTCACTGAATGATCTGGCTACTCAATAAACAAAAAGTCTGTCTGTGCAAACACAAGTTATTTCTTTGTGTTATAGATATGCATATTTTGCCAACTTTCATAGTGTGTAGATAATGTATTTGGATATTTATCATAAAAAACTATTACCTCTTACATAAATTTGAAAGCATCCGTTATTCTTTTATAACTCATTTTTTACTTCTTAAATGCAGCAGACATAAAAGTTTACAGAGTTGTGTGATTATTTTTTCTTAACTGTACATTGAATGGTTCACTTTTTGTTCTTACCAAGTTGCTGGATACATACAGGGATTTGTGACCTTTTTGTTAAACAGCGTTATTTCTATCTACCTCACCAGGAATACACAGGGAATAATGTGATAATTTGTATGCAAAGCACTGCAAGCTTGCCTAGAGCAGTCCAGCAAATGCCAAGTGTTTACTAAGAGGATACCATGTTCCTGAATCTCGATAGAAAACAACATTATAGAATGAGGCTGTACCTGCGGCCACTTTGCTGTTGAAATTTATGGAAATATTTTTTGCAGTTTCTTTACATGCTACTAATAGTCAAATACAGGGTCTTGTAGAACTTAGTAGAGTTCTGGTAACTTTCCGAAGTTTATACATTTTGAATAAACAAAATCAGTAAAATTATCAGCACAAAACTGTTGTAGGTATGATGACTTCCTCAGGGGTGTGTGTGGGTGCGTGTGTGTGTGTGTGTAGGATTTAACTTCAGTTGTTCCAACCAAGGCCTCCAGGATGCGATGAAATAAATTTCTGGAGTAATGACACAAGGAATACGGGTTGGATTTCTCTTGATGTCAACAGAACAGAGAATTAAAGTGTTTTCTATTCTATATACACAGTTAATTAAAAAATAAAAACATATTAACCTTGAGAATTAAGATAAAGAGAAAAAAACCAACTGGGAAATCCTATTATTTATGCTCGCTATTAAGCCGTGGTTACTAGTTTTAAATTGGGGAAGAGGGGTATGGACAGCAAGGGAACTTTCACCTGTGTCTGATTCACACTTCTATGTCCACATTACTGATTCCTAGTAGAGCTGGAAGGAGGATGTTATTTACTTATTCATAAAAATTTCCCATAAAAACAGAATTGGATACTACATTTTTTAAAAAACCATATGTCCAACATCAATGTCCACCATTAATGTTACTTTTAGGAAAGTAAGAATGTGCCATTTATATTAACATAAATTACCCAATGCTGTATTATTTTTAAAGTGAAAAATCATTTATTTGTGTCTACCAGCGTTTCCAGTGTTTTCCTTAACTATCATAGTTAAATTAACCTAGAGATCATTCTTATTTTATTATATACATTCATTTATTTTAGCATTGGTCATGGTCTAGGAATTCACTGTCTTTTCTCTGCTTCAAATTTTCTCAGCTGGCCAAGGATGGAAATGGGGTTACATGACTAATCACTTTGATGTCTCTTTTCTCTTCAGAAGCAAGGGGTCCAGGCAATCACTGGGCTCTGGGGAGATGCGTATTACTGTCAAAGGCTCGTATGGATTTGTACATTTTCTTTTCAGTGTCAGACACATTTAATTGACTTTTTTAGGTTTGCTCAAGATGACTGCCTTATTCTGACAGGGTACGGCAATCTCACTTTACGGAGATTCTAGAATGTTAACCCAAATAAGAGATTGCAACCAGAGCTACAAAGGAAGCCTGGCCCTAATACATATATTAAATTATTTGTATTAACAATCAATACAAATCAACTATTGTAAACATTTAAATTTGGTGCATATATCAAAGAGTATGCTTTAATTTTTGTCATGTTAAAAATACTCTATCAAATTTCATACACATTAAATATTAAATGTCTGCCATTATGCAATCAAACTCATATAAAAACTATTTATTGTTGGCGAGCAAATTAATGGTGACTGTTCGCCAGAGAAGCAATACAACTTTCCTGGTAAGGACATATGGGACCTAAGAAAATCTAGATTCATCTGGTCGTGCAATACATCTGATAAGCTTAATCAATGCAGAAAATAACATATGTATTAATAAATGAAGTATAGATTGATAGGGTATTTTACATTACCATACATTCATAAAGCAAAAGTAGCATCATGCTTAAATATTGAAATAGTAAACATATTGCAAATATAGTAAGAAATATGACAAAAATATTATCTCCATTACTGTTAAAAACTATTCTAGAAGGACTAGCAAAAGTGATTAAAGAAGAAGTGGTGTAATAATTGGCAAAGTAGAGGCAAATGTATCTTTATTTCCAAATAATACAATTATTTTACTTATTTATTTACTTACTTTGAGAAAGGGTCTTACTCCATTACCCAAGCTGGAGTGCAGTGGCGTGGTCTCAGCTCACTGCAACCTCTATCTCTCAGGTTCAAGTGATTTTTGTTCCTCAGCCTCCCAAGTAGCTGGGATTACAGGTGTGTGCTACCATGCCCAGCTAATTTTTTGTTGTTGTTGTTGTTGCTGTTGTTGTTTTTAGTAGAGATGGGTTTCACTATGTTGGTCAGGCTGGTCTTGAACTCCTGGCCTCAAGTTATCCCCCTGCCTTAGCCTCCCTAAGTGTTGGGATTGCAGGCGTGAACCACCGCACCCGACCAAAATTATGTGTTTTTAAAAAAATCAAAAATAACTGCCCCTAAAATGTAAAAATAGTATCAATTAATAAAAAAGCCAATTTTAATTTTCAAGGAATTAGCTTTCTTTTTCATATGGAATTTGGGAATATTTAGAGGCAAATGCGTAGCTCATCTCCAGCAGTTTGACAGGACTATATGGTAGGTTTTTTACATTATCTTTCCTCATGGTTGAAGTTTATGACTTTAGACCGTGAATTCCTTCTGCCTTTCTTATACGCATTCAATTTATTCTAACTTACATGCTGTAGATCCCTGCATGTCACCCTAAACATGTCTTTGGAAGAAGACAGGATGTAAACTAGCAAACACAATGCAAATCTGACAGAAATGTTGAGCATGGATCAGATTAAAAAAAATAGTCACTATTATATTCCTTCCATACGTCTAAACTATTACAAACACTAGGAAGCTTTTAGGTATTAAGTGTACTACAGGCTACATATCAATTCCAGTCTTTTCCTGAAACACACACAAGACCCAGTTCTACAACTGAGATCCCTTCACGTTTGCCCAGTGCTTTGCCATTATGTCAACTTTTTCTCTGCATGAATAGAATTGATCTTATGGCCAGAGGTATTTCTCAAATTTCGAACTCTCCTAACATTAAAGCCTTTTATTTCTTTTATTTTAGATGATGCAAATCATCAATACAAATAAATGAAATTGGTAAATAAACCAAATCTATCAAGCAGATACTGCAAGACAAATCTTATTTTAAATAAATTAATGTGTTATCTAATTTAGTCCTGCAAGCAGTTCTATGAGGTAATGGTATAGTTTTCACTATTTTACAGATTAAAAATTCCAGGCATAGGGAGGTTAGGTAAATTCTGAAATCAGTTGGTGTCGAGCAAAATTTTACCACATGCAGTTTGCTACTAAAGCTTACACTTCTAACCATCATATTGTACTGCCTAATCAAGAATAAATTGGAAGAAATAACTATAGGAAGATAAGATATTTTAAATGAGTATGAAAACTGAATTATGTAATATATACTAAGTGGTACAGGTTTGTCACCTTTACAAACATATATAGTAACTTAGCATACTGCAAAATAAAAGCATCAATTAATTAATAAATATGTCCTTAAAAATTAAGACCACTATTCGTTATTTATTAAGCATTTATTGTGCTCCAATAATTTTCCCTCATTAAGACCAATATATCTTTTGATACATTAAATTGTTCTAAAACATGTGTTTTCTTATCTTCATATTCAGAAATGAAGAAATAGAGATGAAGGGTGGTTTAATGGTATTTTTTTTCCCTAAGAGATGCTTATATGAATTTCCTTTACAGGCTTGTCACTTCTAAACTAAACTTACTAATTAAACTAGTTAGTTTAGTTACTAACTAACTAGTAATTAGTTACTAACTAACTAATTAAACATAAAAATATGTTTAATTTTCCCTTATTTGGTAAGAAAAATAAGTAATTAAAATAAAATTCATTTTAATAATCTAGTCGTTAAAATGAAAATCTGTACATTCTCACTACTGTTCTCAAGAAAGTCTCAAAAATGTTGTATTGTTCTCTAAGGAAGCATGCTCAATTTCACATTAGAAAAAATAAAGCACGTGATAACTGCAAAGTTTCTGAGATATATCTCCATTTAAAAACTCTTTTCAGGTATTTCCTGAAAATTATCACTGAAGCCCAGAAGGGTACTTCTCCTTTCACATGAAGAGAAGAATTATGATGACTTGTCATCTTTGCCTATTGTCATGTCTAGAGAAGAATTCTATAAACAATTATAGCAACTTGCCTCACAACTGGAGATGAATTAAACTTACTACATCTAATAATTCTATAATTTAGGGTACTAAATCTGATCAGATACATGAGAATATATAATGCATACTAAGGTAATAAAATTGGTATTGTAGTATTTTTTTTAACTTAGAAATGGTTGTTAATAAGAATATTTGAGGCAACCCAGTCAAGGAAGTCTTCCCCAACCTAATAAGTGCCTAAGACAGAGCAAAGATGGCACCACTAAAATATGTCTAAGTCAAGTTTCTAAAACTCAAAATAACACATTTTAAATAAACATGAATCATCAAAATAATTACTGCAGATGTGATCATGGGTAAATCACTTCTGAGCTTCATTAATTTTATTGTAAAATTTGGGATATAGATTGGGGGATACTTAAGTGGTACAATGTTTATAAGTCTATATTTTATGAATTTATATCTACTACCAATTTTCTTCATCTCTGACATAATCCATTAATGCTTTTTATGCCAAAAATTCACAAAGTGTTCGCCCATACATAAATGTCACGAGGATGTTTTTCAGTCTGTTGCCACGCAATTGGAATGAATGAATTCCAATAGTCCTGTGTTGCATAGTTTCCATTTTTATTCTCAGGAAATATTTATTCCTCGGGGTAATTTTACCCTCTGCCTGATGTAATATCTCATTAGAGTGGGATCTTTCACCTTGACTGGGACTAATGGGTGCATTGTTTCTTCTAATATATGTATAAATGTAAAGTTAATATTGTTTAAAATTAGAATTATCTCATCAAATTTCAAATGACCTTTTTCATGTCATTGAAGGTATTTTGATAATATTTGGTAAATAGTTGTACCTCCAGGGTCAGTTGACTGATGGTAGGCAAACAATCATAATCTGGTAGATAATGGGATAAGATTTAAGGTTATCATTGTACAAGATTTATTAAGACTATTTCTCTAACAGTGGAGGAATTGACAGCAGTCACCAGCCCTTCTAGGAGCCTGTCTAGGTCTCCTCCTTCCTCTTTCTTCTTCTCTCTGTCCTACTTTTCTTCTTTCTCCTCTTTCTTTTAATGATTGGTGTCTGCTTGAAGAATAACTCTTAAAGACTTGTTGAGCACGTTTCCTGGGCTTTAATTGAAACAAAATAACAAGATTTTGGGTACAAAACCTTTCACTTACACTTCCCTTGAATATTTGAAGGGGTCACTGTAAGTGGAAAGTAATTAAGATGATATTTACAATACAATTTGTGAAATGGGCACATACGTATCAGAACTAAAGCTGTGTGTAGTGCTAAAACAAAGACCTGGTGGGCTAGCTTTTACTCTATTGGTTACTGGATTATGGGGCATTTTTGGATTGGGAGACCTGTGGTAGCACCAGGGTGAGTGAGAGTTTGAGGATGAGCTATTTACCAACTTGTATAGAAGTGTTTTGAATATTTAAACAACATGTAGGGATATATTAAAGCATATCACCTGACTATCAGCTTTAGAAATAAAAAAATCTAATTATTAATACTCTGAAAGCTTGGTTGTCTGAGTCTTTTCCCAACCCACAAAGATTTTAAATCTAATTAATTAAGCCAGGTAATATACAAAGGGTTGAGAAGTCTTAACAAAGTCCCAAAGTACTCTTCAGGCAGAGGCTAGAGGAAAGCAAAGGAAAGGGTTTTTGACCATATCTGTTTTAGCACAAAGGTTCTGTTTAGATTAAATTTAGAGTAATATTTAGTAATAACTTTTTCTCTTTACATAACAGAGAAAATAATATTCATGAATTGAAAAGTACTAAAAATATTTTTGAATGGTTAAGGTGAGCTATTTAATAGAAATAAAGGGCATCTTTAAGTTAGAGAAATTATATCACAGAAGCTCACGTTTCAAATGGAAATTTACCTTTTCACCAGTAAACAACATGAATTCTTGCAATTCTTGAGTTTGTGATGCAAAGTACAAGAGTATACAAAGTGTTATTTCATGCCATTAACAGTTATTAAATAATTTTATAGTTTAAGCAACATAGGCCCAGAAAATTGTAAACAACTTGAATAATACCATAATGAAAACATTTTCAGAGAGACAAAGCAATATTTGCATATAACATAGGACAGAACACAAAGAAGATGGCAAATTTAGCCTCAGCCAAAGCTACTGATGCCCTGTCTGAAATATATTCCTGTGCTGGTTGAACCATGGGCTGACACTTGTATGGGTTTTCTTTTCTTTTGAGTCAAAATGAAATATTTTAAATAATAGGTGTCACATACAAAGGGATGTGTTTAGCAGAGCTTATGATGCTAATACATGCTTATGATAAATAGATGCTTATGATAAATAGGGATGAGTTTAGCAGAGCTTATGATGCTAATAGATGTTGCCTGAATTGAAACTTGATCAGTTAGTTTCTCTTTGTAGGATTTCAGAGGTAAAAGTAAGATTACCAAATCTCCAATAAACACTGTTTAGAAACATTTGCTTTTTAAAAGCCATAAAGTGAATTTGTTTTCCAGTCAGAACAATTGGCCAAACTGTATTCATTAACTGAATAAATGAGACTGATGTTTCTTTGCATCTTCTGAAATATTTAATATTGGTCAAATAATGAATTTTTTTCCTTTAAGCTTGGTTACTAATAAAACTTCTTATCTACGTTATTCAATCAAAAGGCTTCTTTTCATCTTACTGAATGCTGTCTGTACATTTATTGTCATTTTTGGACTAGTATTCTTTTTCTTTTTTACTATGTTAATACGAACATCGCCCAAAAAATTGTATTAAATTTGGTTAACAATTCAAATTCAAAGAGCTTTTTATAGTTTCCCAAAAATCCTTGCATCACATACATAGTATTCTTGTGTGTATGTTTCTATAAGTATATATGTATTTATGTGTATGCATTATATTATATATCTACATATATTATAAATATTCCATATAAATGTAATCATGTGTAATGTATTATATGTGTATGCTTCATACAGACATGCACCTGCACACACATAAACATAAAATATCCATTATTGATATAGATGTTTTAATTCTGTATTTCATTTTCTCGTCATAAAACTCAGGTGAGCCAAATCTTAATTTATTCACTTCACATATAATAACACAAAGTTCCAGTGATATCTTGCTCTTTAACACAAACAGCTAATAGGACAGCTTATTATAACTGTTTTTTATAGGTTAAGCACTCTTACATATAGTAGACCTATAGCCTTACTCATGAAATCCATACATGGCAAGTAAAATCAATGCTCTTGGCATCATTTTATAGATGAACATATGGGAAAATATAAATATTAACTGTACTATAGTCCAACAGAATGTCTGATGTCTGAAACAAAAACACAATGCCTAGCTTTTAATCTTAATGTCTACTATTATCTCACACAGTAACTATATGCATAAATATGGAATTTCTGATAAACTATATAAAGATGTAGATCATCCAAATAACTATGTATAGATACCAGTTCTGGAACACCTGCCATAGGCCAGTACTGAAACACCTGTCATGAGCCATTTCTAGAATATCTGTCATGAGCCTAAAATTCAGCTTTGATTTAAATTTGTTTGCTCTCATTTAATCAGTTTAAATTGGAGACTCTTAACTCATTGAGAATTCTGGATGGATGCTAGGAGAGAAAAATCAACTTTTTAAAACCTGTTTTATAATGGAAGAAATGGGCCTCATGTTCAGAAAAGAAAATTCAATAAACCAAACTTATTTATTATTTAAGGTACAGCTAAATACAATGAAGTATTTATGAACATATCCTCTTAGGCTCACTACATTTGTGAAGAATTAAAATAAAAACTGCTTTGTGTCCTATGGGAGTCTGAGGGAGAACTCTAACTTTGTGAGCATGAAGGCATTTCTTCCAACAGATAAGAGAAGTCAAACTTCTATATTATGAATCAGAGGAAATTTCAACTGGCCAGAACAGGGTGAAAAGAGGGCTCTATGAGTTTAATTCACCAGAGGGCTATGGTTATTGTCTTAAAATAATGTTTTGGCATTCCCTTTTCTAAAAGTATTTTAGATTGCTTGAGTCTACTTTATGGCTCTATGTCAGTTGACACTAATGAATATGAAAGCTTTTGAGGATGAGAAGCAAAATTCAAGGATGGATATCTAAATATCTTTTCTGGAGGTGCCATCATGACTAAAAAGCATGTTCTTTTTGTGACCTTGAAAGTGGTTACTCACCCATGGAGACACACAGTTTTCTAATATATAAAATAAAAAACATTGAACCTGAAAAGTGTTAAAGTCATTGTTAGTGTTAATATATGTGACTTTATGATTTTACTTTATTATATAAAAAGGAAACAGTGATGTTGAGCAATGGTGAAAAGGAAAAATACTATAGAGGCAGATTTTTTTATGATTTCTGAAAATCTGGGGTGAGGAAATCTCATTTAGAAATTATAATCTGTGGAACATAGTAACTCATGGATAGTTTAGTCTGGTAGCTGACAAACTCAATACCATGTAAAAGGCTGAAATAAAATACTGCAGCTCATAAAGACATGGTTTTGAATAACATACTAGTAAGGAGAATATGAAGAAAGTTTTTATTTAAAACATTATAATACCCTCAGCTTATCTGAAGGAAAAATGAAACTGAAATATCTGATGTACAATTGCTGTTAATATATGGGTATTTTTCAGAATAAGACTCATTCAGAGAAAATTATAGTAACATTGTCTGTGAATGTAACATAAGAAAATCACACTTTGGCAAATTTGGAAGCTATTATCTAGGAAAGAGAATATACGTAAAGAAACCTTCTATTCAGCTATTTAATATTTTTGTGAGGTGTATTTTTTTAATAACAAGATTAAATCTTGTGGGATGTTTTATATGTATATATATGTGTGTATGTATGTATGTGTGTGTGTGTATATATATATATATTAGTGTTGATTTGTGATTTGCTAAAATATTTTTTACAGAATCAGGTTGGCTACTAAATCTGATAATACTCTGAAAATAATCTGATGAAAATCTGATAAAAAAAGTTGTATACTCTGTCCCTTGTTTCTGAGAAGAATCATTAAGAGTTTTCTGAGTTCGAATAAAAGACTTAATGCTTCTACTAAAGTATGTGCAGGAAGATGTGAAAACTGTTCACTTGGCTATTTGTTGTTGTCATTGTTTTTCTTCAACTGTTACTAATGGGAATTGTTGAGGCTGAAATGAAATAAAATAAGTCAATGCTATAAAGAGCAGAAAAACTAAATAATAAAATATCATCATGGAAAGTATCCTAAAATTATCTACGTTCTCCAGTTGATAGTAAACTCATTCACAGAAAGAAGTGATTTGTGCAAATTCCAATACAAAGTTGATAGCACAAAAGGGACCCAAACAAAATCAAGTTGCTTGAACCCCTATCCAATTCTTCATTCTTGTATATCACAGTTTTAAGCTATGGTAAATTTCCTGATAACAATCAACACTAGTAATATGTTTCTTCATTACAAATATCAAATCTTCTGCTTAGTGTCACTTTGATGAGTTAATAGAAGAGGCTGATACCTATATAACAAAATTTATATGGAGGCTTTGCATTTGAGGAAGCAGTCACTTCCTCCAGATTTTAAAGACTTGTTTTGGTGAGAAAAAACATTTACCTACAGGTGGGTGCAAGGCTGACAATGATTTTTTGGAAACAAATGCAAAACTAGATTAATGGGGTTACATCAAACTATAAAGCTTCTGCCCAAAAAAGGACATAATCAACAGAGAAAAAAGATAACCCACAGAATAGGAGAAAATGTTTACAAAATATATATCTAACAAAGGGTTAATATCCTAAAAGAATAAAGAACTCATGCAACTCAATAGCAAAAATACCCAAATAACTCAATTAAAATTATGCAAAGAATTTAAATTGACATTTCTCAAAAAAGTACATACCAATTGTAAGTAGGTATGTGAAAATGTACTGAACTTACTAATCTTCATGAAAAAATAAAGCAAAACTGATTCTTGGGCAAGATGGCTGAATAGGAATAGCTCTGGTCTACAGCTCCTAGCAAGACCAATGCAGAAGGCAGGTGATTTCTGCACTTTCCACTGAGCTATCCGGCTCATCTCATTGGGACTGGTTAGACAGTGGGTGCAGCCCATGGAGGGTGAGCAGAAGGAGGGTGGGGCATCACCCAGGAAGTTCAAGGGGTCAGGGAACTCCCCCACCTAGCCAAGGGAAGCCGTGAGTGAGTGACGGTGGGCCCAGATACTATGCTTTTCCCACTGTCTTTGCAACTCGCAGACCAGGAGATTCCCACAAGTGCCTACACCACCAGGGTCCTGGGTTTCAAGCACAAAACTAGGCGGCCATTTGGGCAGACACCCGAGGTAGCTGGAGGAGTTTTTTTTCGTACCCCAGTGGCACCTGGAATGCCAATGAGACAGAACTGTTCACTCCCCTGGAAAGGGGGCTGAATCCAGGGAGCCAACTGTTTTTGCTCAGCAGATACCACCCCCATGGGGCCTAGCAAGCTAAGACCCACTGGCTTGAAATTCTCACTGCCAGCACAGACGCCTGAAGTTGACCTGGGACACTCCAGCTTGGTTCGGGGAGGGGAGTCTGCCATTACTGAGGCTTGAGTAGGTGGTTTTCCCTTACAGTGTAAACAAAGCCTCTGGGAAATTCAGACTAAGTGGAGCCACTGTAGCCAGACTGCCTCTCTAGATTCCTCCTCTCTGGGCAGGGCATCTCTGAAAGGCAGCAGCCCCAGCTGGGGGCTTATAGATAAAACTCGCATGTCCCTGGGACAGAGCACCTGGGGGAAGCTGTGGGCACAGCTTCAGCAGATTTAAACATTCCTGCCTCCCAGCTCTGAAGAGAGCAGTGGATCTCCCACACAGTGCTCAAGCTCTGCTATGGGACAGACTGCCTCCTAAAGTGGGTCCCTGACCCCTGTGCCTTCTGACAGGGAGCCACCTCCCAGCAGGGGTAGACAGACACCTCATATAGGGGTGGCTCGAGGTGGCATCTGGCTGATGCCCCTCTGGGACAAAACTTCCAGAGGAAGGAGCCCATAGCAATCTTTGCTGTTCTGCAGCTTCTGCTGGTGATACCCAGGCAAACAGGGTCTGGAGTGGACCTCCAGCAAACTCCAGCAGACCTGCAGAAGGGGGGCCCGACTGTTAGAAGGAAAACTAACAGACAGCAGTAGCATCAACAGCAACAAAAAGGATGACCAAGCAAAACCACCATCTGAAGGTCACCAACATCAAAGACCAAAGGTAGATAAATCCATGAAGATGAGGAAAAACCAGTGCAAAAATCCTGAAAATTTCAAACACCAGAATGTCTCTCCTTCTCCAAAGGATCACAGTTCCTTGCCAGCAAGGGAACAAAACTGAATGGAGAATGAGTTTGACAAATTGACAGAAGCAGGCTTCAGAAGGTAGGTAATAATAAATTCCTCTGAGCTAAAGGAGCATGTTCTAACTCAATGCAGGGACATTAAGAATCTTGATAAAAAGTTACAGGAAGTGCTAATGAGAATAACCAGTTTAGGGAAGAACATAAATGACCTGATGGAGCTGAAAAACATAGCACGAGAACTTCATGAAGCATACACAAGTATCAATAGCCAAATCCCTCAAGCAGAAGAAAGGATATCAGAGATTGAAGATCAACTTAATGAAATAAAGGAAGAAGACAAGATTAGAGAAAAAAGAATGAAAAGGAATGAACAAAGCCTCCAAGAAACATGGGACTTTGTGAAAAGACCAAACCTACATTTGATTGGTGTACCTGAAAGTGATGGGGAGAATAGAACCAAGTTGGAAATCACACTCAGGATATTATCCAGGAGAACTTCCCCAACCTTGCAAGACACCAGAGAGCACTACGAAGATACTCCTTGAGAAGAGCAACCCAAGACACATAATCATCAGATTCACAAGGTTGAAATTAAGGGAAAAAATGTTAAGGGCAGCCAGAGAGAAAGGTCAGGTTACCCACAAAGGGAAGCCCAGCAGACTAACAGTGAATCTCTGTGCAGCATCCCTACAAGCCAGAAGAGAGTGGGGGCCAATATTCAACATTCTTAAAGAAAATAATTTTTAACCAGAATTTCACATCCAGCCAAACTAAGCTTCATAAGTGAAGGAGAAATAAAATCCTTTACAGACAAGCAAATGCTGAGGGATTTTGTCAACACCAGGCCTGCCTTACAAGAGCTCCTGAAGGAAGCACTAAACATGGAAAGGAAAAACCGGTACCAGCCACTGTAAAAACAAACCAAAATGTAATGACTATCGACACTATAAAGAAACTGCCACAACCAATGGGCAAAATAACCAGCTAGCATCATAATGACAGAATCAAATTCACACACAACAATATTAACGTTAATTGTAAATGGGCTAAGTGCCCCAATTAAAAGACACATACTGGCAAATTGGATAAAGAGTCAAGACCAATCAGTGTGCTATATTCAAGATCCTCATCTCACGTGCAAAGACACACATAGGCTCAAAATAAAGAGATGGAGGAATATTTACCAAGCAAATGGAAAGCAAAAAAAAAAAATGCAGGGGTTGCAATCCTAGTCTCTGATAAAACAGACTTTAAACCAACAAAGATAAAAAAAGACAAAGAAGGCATCCCTTTACACAATGGTAAAGGGATCAACACAACAAGAAGAGCTAACTATTCTAAATATATATGCACCCAATACAGGAGCACCCAGATTCATAAAGAAAGTTCTTAGAGACCTACAAAGAGACTTAGACTCCCACACAATAATAGTGGGAGAATTTAATACCCCACTGTCAATATTAGACATATCAACAAGACAGAAAATTAACAGGGATATTCAGGGCTTAAACTCAGCTCTGGACCAAGTGGAGCTAATAGACATCTACAGAACTCTCCACCCCAAATCAACAGAATATACATTCTTCTCAGCACCGCTTCACACTTATTCTAAAATTGACCACATAATTGGAAATAAAACACTCCTCAGCAAATGCAAAAGAATGGAAATAATAAGAAAGTCTCTCAGACCACAGTGCAATCAAGTTAGAACACAGAATTAAGAAACTCACTCAAAACTGCACAACTACATAGAAACTGAACAACATGCTCCTGAATGACTACAGCATAAATAACGAAATTAAGGCAGAAATAAAGAAGTTCTTTGAAACCAATAAGAACAAAGACACACAACATTATTAGAATCTCTGGGATACAGATAAAGCAGTGTTTACAGGGAAATTTACAGCACTAAATGCTCACATCAGAAAGCAGGAAAGATCTAAAATCGACACCCTAATATCACAATTAAAAGAACTAGAGAAGCAACAGCAAACAAATTCAAAAGCTAGCAGAAGACAAGAAATAACTAAGATCAAAGCAGAACTGAAAGAGATAGAGACACGAAAAACCGTTCAAAAAATCAATGAATCCAGGAGCTGGTTTTTTGAAAAGATTAACAAAATAGATAGACCACTAGCCAGACTAATAAAGAAGAAAAGAGAGAAGAATCAAATAGACCCAATAAAATATGATAAAGGGTATATCACCACTGATCCCACAGAAATACAAACTACCGTCAGAGAATACTATAAACACCTCTACGAAAATGAACTAGAAAATCTAGAGGAAATGGATAAATTATTGGACACAAACACCCTCCCAAGACTAAACCAGGAAGAACTTGAATCCCTGAATAGACCAATAACAAGTTCTGAAATTGAGGCAGTAATTAATAGCCTACCAACCAAAAGAAGCCCAGGACCAGATGGATTCACAGCCGAATTTTACCAGAGGTACAAAGAGAAGCTGGTACCATTCCTTCTAAAACTATTCCAAATAATGTTAAAAGAGGGACTCCTCCCTATCTCCTTTTATGAGGCCAGCTTCTTCCTGATACGAAAACATGGCAGAGACACAAGAAAAAAAGAAAATTTCAGGCCAATATCCCTGAAGAACATTGACATGAAAATCCTTAATAAAATATGGGCAAACCACATCCAGCAGCACATTAAAAAGCTTATCCACCACCATCAAGTCGGCTTCATCCCTGGTATGCAAGGCTGCTTCAACATATGCAAATCAATAAACATAATCCATCACAGAAACAGAGCCAGTAAGGAAAACCACATACTTATCTCAATAGATGCAGAAAAGGCCTTCAGTAAAATTCAACACCCCTTCGGCTGGGTGCAGTGGCTCACGCCTACAATCCCAGCACTTTGAGAGGCCGAAGTGGGCGGATCACCTGAGGTTGGGAATTCCAGACCACCCTGACCAACATGGAGAAACCCCATCTCTACTAAAAATACAAAATTAGCCAGGTGTGGTGGCGCATGCCTGTAATCCCAGCTACTCGGGAGGGTGAGGCAGGAGAATCACTTGAAACTGGGAGGCAGAATTTGTGGTGAGCCGAGATCACGCCATTGCACTCCATCCTGGTCAACAAAAGCAAAACTCTGTTTCAAAACAAAAAAGAAAAAGAAAAAGAAAATTCAACACCCTTTCATGCTAAAAACACTCAACAAACTAAGTATTGATGAAATGTCTCTCAAAATAGTAAGACCTATTTATGACAAACCCACAGCCAATATCATACTGAATAGGCAAAAGCTGCAAGCATTCTATTTGAAAACTGGCACAAGACAAAGATGCCCTCTCTTACCACTCTTATTCAGCATAGTTTTGGAAGTTCTGGCCAGGGCAATCAGGTAAGAGAAAGAAATAAAGGTATTCACATAGGAAGGGAGGAAGTCAAATTTTCTCTGTTGTAGATGACATGATTGTATATTTAGAAAACCCCTTAGTCTCACTCCAAAAATTCCTTAAGCTGATAAGCAACATCATCAAAGTCTCAGGATACAAAATCAATGTGCAAAAATCACAAGCATTCCTATACACCAATAATAGACACACAGAGAGCCAAATCATGAGAGAACTCCCATTCACAATTGCTACAAAGAGAATAAAATACCTAGGAATGCAACTTACAAGGGATGTGAAGGACCTCTTCAAGGAGAACTACAAACCACTGCTCAAGGAAATAAGACAAGACACAAATGGAAAAACATTCCATGCTCATGGATAGGAATAATCAGTATCATGAAAATGGCCATACTGCTCAAAGTAATTATAGATTCTATGCTATTCTCATCAAGCTACCATTGACTTTCTCCACATAATTAGAAAAAACTACTTTAAGTTTCACATGGAACCAAAAAAGAGCCAGTACAGCTAAGACAATCCTAAGCAAAAAGAACAAAGCTGGAGGTATCATGCTACCTGACTTCAAACTATACTACAGTATAGTTTGAGGCTATAGCAACCAAAACAGCACGGTGCTGGTACCAAAACAGATATATAGACCAATGGAACAGAACTGAGGCCTCAGAAATAACACCACACATCTACAACCGTTTGATCTTTGACAAACCTGATAAAAACAAGCAATGGGGAAAGGACTCCCTATTTAATAAATGGTGCTGGGAAAACTGGCTAGCCATATGTAGAAAGCTGAAACTGGATCCCTTCCTTACACCTTGTACAAAAATTAACTCAAGATGGAGTAAAGATTTAAATGTTAGACCTAGAACCATAAAACCATAAAAATCCTAGAAGAATATCTAGGCAATACCATTTAGGATATAGGCATGTGCAAAGACTTTATGACTAAAACACCAAAAGCAATTGCAACAAAAGCCAAAATTGACAAATGGGGTCTAATTAAATTAAAGAGCTTCTGCACAGCAAAAGAAACTGTCATCAGAGTGAACCTACAGAATGGGAGAAAATTTTTGCAATCTATCCATCTGGCAAAGGGCTAATATCCAGAATCTACAAGAAACTTAAACAAATTTCACAGGAAAAAAACAACCTCATCAAAAAGTGGGCAAAAGATATGAACAGATACTTTTCAAAAGAAGATATTTATGAGGCCAAGTAACATATGAAAAAAAGATCATCATCACTGGTCATTGGAGAAATGCAAATCAAAACCACAATGAGATACTATCTTACGCCAGTTAGAATGGCGATCATTAAAAAGTCAGGAAACAACAGATGCTGGAGAGAATGTGGAGAAATAGGAACGCTTTTACACTGTTGATGGGGGTGTAAATTAGTTCAACCATTGTGGAAGACAGTGTGGCGAATCCTCAAGGATCTAGAACTAGAAATACCATTTGACTCAGCAATCCCATTGCTGGGTATATACCCAAAGGATTATAAATCATTCTACAATAAAGACACATGCACATGTATGTTTACTGCGGCACTATTCACAATAGCAAAGACTTGGAACCAACCCAAATGCCTATCAATGATAGACTGGATAAAGAAAATGTGGCACATATACACCATGGAATACTATGCAGCCATAAACAAAGAATGAGTTCATGTCCTTTGCAGGGACATGGACGAAGCTGGAAACCATCATTCTCAGCAAACTAACACGGGAACAGAAAACCAAACACCACATGTTCTCACTCATAAATGGGAGTTGAGCAATGAGAACATATGGGCACATGGAGGGGAATATTACACACTGGGGCCTCTTGGAGGGTGAGGTAAAGGGGAGGGATAACATTAGAGGAAATACCTAATGCAGATGATGGGTTGATGGGTGCAGCAAACTACCATGGCACATGTATAACTATGTAACAAACCTGCACATTCTGCAACTGTATCCCAGAACTTAAGAGAGAGAGAGAGAGAGAGAGAGAGAAATATATGTATAAAAATATATAAACATATATATAAATATATATATATATACCACAATGGGATATTATTTTACACATATTAGAATGACTATTCAAAAACCAAAAGGAAACAAGTATTGGTGAGGATCTGTGTACTCTTTTACAGTTTGGTGGGACTTTAATTGTTACAGCCATTATAAAAAAACTGAATGGAGGTTTCTAAAAAAATTAAAACTAGAACTAGCTTACAATCCAGCAGTCCCACTTCTAGGTATATTTTTGAAGGAAATAAAATCAGTATTTCAGAAAGATGTCTGTTTTCTCATGTTCATTTCAGAATTATTCATAATTGCCTAATTATGGAAGCAATATAAGTGTCTGTTAATGGTGAATAATTTTTTTAAATTGATGTACGCACACACACGCCCCTCCCCCAACACACAATGAAACATGTCTTTGCTTATAAAAGAAAAAGCATCCTGCTGTTTGTGACAACATGGATTAACTTGGAGGACATTATATTATGTTAAATAAGCCAGATACAAAAAGACAAATGCTACATAGTGTCACTGATATGTAGGTGAAATATAAAAATGTCAAAATCATGGAAATAGGGAGTAGAATGGTGGTTAATAGGGACTGGGGAGGTGGGATATGGAACCATGTTGGTCAAAGGGTAAAAGCTTTCAGTTATGCGACATAAATACATTCTGGTGATCTAATGTACAACAATGTGACTATATATAGTTAACAATATTGTACACTTGAAAACTGCTAACAGAGTAAATATAAGTTTTCTTACTGCACTCACAAAGTGGTAAATATGTGAGGTAATGGATAAGCTAATTAGCTTGAGTTTGCTTACTATTTCACCATGTATATGTATATGAAACCATTGAGCTGTAGACCTTAAATATGTACATTTTATCAATTGTCAACTATGCCGCAATGAAGTTGGAGAAAGGGGGGAAAAAAAGGAAAAGATTGTAGAGATATACAAGGTGTGGAGAATTTATGCCCTATTAGGTATGTTGGGATGAGCGAGCAGCAGGAGTTGTTTCTAAGATTTTTCTCAGAACAGACCTGAAGAATATAATTGGCACTAACTAGAATAGGAAAGAAAAAGTTTTATTTTTAATGATTCCCTAATGTGAATTTGAATTGTTATTTTTATTAGTTTCATTTTTTCTGAATATGGATTGCATTAATTCTGATAAAGGAGTAATTATATACAAGCTATCTGAAGTTTATGAAAGAATTCGTATACCTGTTTGAGATGTAGTTGCTATAAAAAAAGGAAGATGCATAGTTTGTCTTCATCTTCTTTGAAGAATGTAGAGGATAAATCTTGATTATTTGTCCTGGAAAAAACCCATAATTTCTTTTGTCTCTGCTACAGAAATTTAGAACTGAAAGGGAGAAGCATCACCACAAATAATGCAGGAACAAGCAACTGCCCTTTTAAACCATCTTTGGCAAAACTATTTATGTAAATTGAAGTCTGACCTGTCATGCTTATTTATTACTCTGCCAATTTTTTTCATTGCAATTCATTGCTCTTCTTGCTCTTGTTTTCTCATATTAGATTTGCCAGATGAATTTTTAATGGCATGACTTCAAAACACCATAGAAGTAAATGATGTTCATATTTCGCTTGCAAAATCAACACTAGAAGAATCACTTGCCTACAAATTGACCCTGGTAAATTCTTAAAATCTGTAACCTCACCCAGACATTCAGATGTGAAAAACTGGAGATACCTTTAGGCAACAAGAGCTTCTGATTATCAAGGTGATAGCACGAAGGCAGGGTGTGAACACTAAGGAGGAATATCATACCTTGGGATCTGGTGTTGATAGACTGCCATAATCTATGGGTGATGGAAGTTATCACTTTATCAAATGCGCAATGAACACCTTTGCTTTGATAATATTTGTAATCATTACTATTTAGCAAATACATTTGGATATATTTTAATATAAGAACAATTTGGAATATTTATTATCTAATTGATTTCTGATAATTTGGTATTTATGGCCCAAACTGATTATGTCTCAAATCTCTTCGGATTCATTTGTAGAGGAAATTGGCATATGTGGCTCAATGTTTCCTTGTCAGGAAATGGCAGATCTATTATTGAGGAAGTTACCATTTTGTTATGGAAATCAGGTATACATTTGTCTTAGTGTTTGGTAATAAATACAGGCAGAGATTATGTAATATCAAGTGCTTAGTATTAAATGAATTAGTCAATATAGATGTCTGAAAAGAAGTTTTGGGAATCATATTCAAGAAGGGAACAGATAATGGATTTATATTAAAAGTTTTGTTAATTATGAGACCAAGAGAACAAAAAGCCCTTTCCTTAGGTCAATGTCTTTCTAAGTACACATCTTTTTAAACTAGAATTTTATAAAATATCTCATGATGCTTTTTGAAGAAACTGGGGAAAGTTCAACTGTTTCTTTTTACATGAATAATACATTGATTTTGTGGGCATGTCATCTATAGAAGATCACAGAATAAAATAGAAAGCACATAGGTATTAAAATGAAAGAGACTTAGATTCAAATCCTAGCTTTCCATTTGCTGACTTTGAGCCTACAGTCAATTTAACTCCTCTCAGCTTTAATTATATTATCCCAAAAATGGAGAAAACTCTTGATTCAGAATTTTTGAAAGTATTAAATACAATCACATATGTAAAACCCTAGTACTGTGCCTGGCACAAAGGTACCAATACTGCTTTTCCTAACTTTTAGGTCTAAATTTCCAAAACTATGTTCCACAAAACAATAGTTGTATGAGATGCTTTGTGGAAAATGCTAATTTTGTATGTTCATCCTCTGAGCGTTACAGTGGATATTATTGGCTCTAAAAACAAAATTAAGATTCAATGCTATTTCCTCCATTACTTCTGTTTCCTAATGAGAGTACACCATAAAAACAAATAATTTTAAGAAAAAATAATAATTTAACTGTGCAAATATGGGATTCAGAGAGTCATTTAATTAACTCTGAGGCTCTATTTTCTTATTTGTAAAAACCATTCCTTTACTTACTGAATTGAAACTTATTGTGGGCTGACTATACTGAGGATTCTATGAAGTGCAGGGAGTTAAAGGATGTAAACGCATAATCCCTGAATTCAAGGAATGCAGCCCATGAGGGAATTAAACAGACAAAAATTGAAAATACAAAGAGATGGAAGTTAAAATAGGCAAAGTTGTACTTATATACTATGGTCCTATGGAGGCACCATGTAGGGCAGTACTGTAGCCTGGAAGTATTCAGAAAGACCTCATGGAGCAATGAAACTTCATACACGTGTTTATCTGTTCAACACATAATCACTGAGCATCTATTGAATGTCAGACACTATTGACAGTGTTAGCGATACAGTGGCTATATACATATAAAAAAGGTCTTAACTTTGTGCAACTAATGTGCTAGTGGATATACAAACAATAAGCACTTAGATGAATGCTACCAAAAAAAAAAAACAGGAGAGGAGGTAGTATGAAAAGAGTTTCTATATTGGACAGGGGAGATACCAAAGCCCTCTTAGAGAATGCTAGTTAATCCTGTTAATTTTATTTGTCCATCCATTACTATTCCTGAACAAAGATCCACTGTGTTATAATAAACTGCATTTATGAATAGAGTACATCAAATAAAACACTCTTTTTGAATTGCACAGTTAGAGGCATTTTTATAATGATATACAACTTAGTAACTAGCACCAGAAGCGATATACAGACATACTTCATGTAATTGCACTTCTCTTTATTGCTCTTCACAGATATTACATTTTTTACAAATTAAAGGTTTGTTGTAACCCTGCATAGAGCAAGTCTATCAGCACCATTTTTCCATCAGTATGTGTTCACTTTGTGTCTCTGCATCACAATTTGGTAATTATCACAATATTTCAAAACTTTTTCACTATTCTTAGACCTGTTATGGTGATCTGTGATCAGCATTCTTTGATTAGTATTGAAATTGTTTTGGGACACCACAGGCTGCACGCATATAACTGACTGCTCCACTAGCTGGCTATTTCCCTTTCTCTCTCCCTCTTCTCAGGCCTCTCTATTCTCTAAGATAAAACAATATTTATATTAAACCAATTAATAACATTACAATGGCCTCTAAGTGTTCAAGTGAAAGGGAGAGATGCACGCCTGTTACTTTAAATCAAAAGCCAGAAATGATTAAGTGACATTAAATACAAAAGCTGAGGTAGGCTGAAAGCTGGGCCTCTTGCACCAAAGTTAGCCAAGTTGCAAATGCAAAGGAAAAGTTCTTGAAGGAAATTAAAAGTGCTACTCCAGTAAATACATGAATGATAAGAAAGCATAACAGCCTTGTTGCTGGTATGGGGAAAGTTTTAGAGGTCTGGATAGATGATCAAAGCGGCAACAACATTCCTGTAAGCCAGAGTCCAGAGGACAGCCCCAATTCTCTTCAATTCTATTAAAAGCTGAGACAGGTGAGGGAGCTGCAGAAGAAAAGTTGGAAGCCACCAGAGGTTGGTTCATGAGTATTAAAGAAAAAGACCATCTTTCTATATAAAAGCACAAGATGAAGCATCAACTGCTGATGTAGAAGCTGCAGCGAATTATCCAGAAGATCTAGCTACTAAGATCATTGATGACGGTGGCTACAATAAACTACGTATTTTAAATATAAATGAAACAGCCTTGTTCTGAAACAAGATGCCATCTAGGACTTTCTGAGTTAAAGCAGAGAAGCCAATGCCTGGTTTCAAAGCTTCAAAGAACAGGATGACTCTTGTTAGGGGCTACCAAAGCTGGCAAGTTTAAGTTGAAACATGCTCATTTACCACTTCAAAAATCCTAGGGCCCTTAAGAACTATGCTAAACCCACTCTGCTTGTGTAATTGAAACAGCATTGCCTGGATGACAGCACATCTGTTTGCAGCATGGTTTACTGAATATTTGAAGTGCACTGTACAGACCTACTGTTCAGACAAAAATATACCTTTCAAAATAGTACTGCTCACTGATGATACATCTGGTAACCCAAGAGTTCTGATAGAGTTGTACAAGGCGATTCATATGATTTTCATAGCTGCTAACACAACATTCATTCTGTAGTCTACAGATCAAACAGTAATTTTGACTTGTTATTAAATTTTATCTTGTTATTAAAGAAATGCATTTCATAAGGCTATAGACTGTAATTTCTCTGCTGGATCTAGGCAAAGTAAATTAAAAACCTTCTGGAAAATATTTACCATTCTAGGTGAGAGGTGACAGCGTGCTGGCAGTCCTCAGAGCCCTCGCTTGCTCTCAGCGCCTCCTCTGCCTGGGTTCCCACTTTGGCGGCACTTGAGGAGCCCTTCGGCCCGCCGCTGCACTGAGGGAGCTCCTTTCTGGGCTGCCCAAGGCCAGAGCCAGCTCCCTCAGCTTGCAGGGAGGTGTGGAGGGAGAGGCGCGAGCAGGAACCGGGGCTGCGCGCAGCGCTTGCGGGCCAGCTGGAGTTCTGGGTGGGCGTGGGCTTGGCGGGCCCCGCACTCGGAGCAGCCGGCCGGCCCTGCCGGCCCGGGCAATGAGGGACTTAGCACCCGGGCCAGCGGCTGCGGAGGGTGTACTGGGTCCCCCAGCAGTGCCGGCCCACCGGCGCTGCGCTGGATTTCTCGCCGGGCCTTAGCTGCCTTCCCGCGGGGCAAGGCTCGGGACCTGCAGCCTGCCATGCCTGAGCCTCCCCGCTCCGCCTCCGTGGGCTCCTGTGCCGCCCGAGCCTCCCCGACGAGCACCACCCCCTGCTCCACGGCATCCAGTCCCATCGACCACCCAAGGTGCTGAGGAGTGCCAGCGCACAGGGTGGGACTGGCAGGCAGCTCCACCTGCAGCCCTGGTGCGGGATCCAGTAGGTGAAGCCAGCTGGGCTCCTGAGTCTGGTTGGGACGTGGAGAGTCTTTATGTCGAGCTCAGGTATTGTAAACACACCAATCAGCACCCTGTGTTTAGCTCAAGGTTTGTGAGTGCACCAATCGAGACTCTGTATCTAGCTGCTCTGGTGGGGCCTTGGAGAACCTTTATGTCTAGCTCAGGGATTGTAAATACACCAATCAGCACCCTGTGTTTAGCTCAAGGTTTGTGAATGCACCAATGGACACTCTGTATCTAGCTGCTCTGGTGGGGCCTTGGAGAACCTGTGTGTCAAAACTCTGTATCTAACTAATCTGATGGGGACGTGGAGAACCTTTGTATCTAGCTCATGGATTGTAAATGCACCAATCAGCGCCCTGACAAAACAGGCCACTCGGCTCTACCAATCAGCAGGATGTGGGTGGGGCCAGGTAAGAGAATAAAAGCAGGCTGCCCCAGCCTGCCTCGGCAACCCGCTTGTGTCCCTTTGCATACTGTGGAAGCTTTGTTCTTTTGCTCTTTGCAGTAAATCTTGCTACTGCTCACTCTTTGGGTCCCCGCTGCTTTTATGAGCTGTAACATTCACCGCGAAGATCTGCAGCTTCACTCCTGAGCCCAGCGAGACCACAAGCCCACCGGGAGAAACGAACAACTCCAGACGTGCTGCCTTAAGAGCTGTAACACTCACCGCAAAGGTCTGCAGCTTCACTCCTGAACCAGCGAGACCACGAACCCACCAGAAGGAAGAAACTCCGAACACATCTGAACATCAGAAGGGACAGACTCCAGACGCGCCACCTTAAGAGCTGTAACACTCACCGCGAGGGTCCGCGGCTTCATTCTTAAAGTCAGTGAGACCAAGAACCTACCAATTCCGGACACATAGGTACCATTAAGAACATTAATGATTCATGAGAGAAGGTCAAAATATCAAAATTAACAAGAATTTGCAAGATGTTAATTTTAACTCTAATAAATGACATTTACAGATTCAAGACATCAGTGGAAAAATAAACTCCATGTAATGGGAATAGCAAGAAAAATAGCACTAGAAGTGGACCTTGAAGATTTGACTGACCTGTGGAAATCTCATAGTAAAACCTGAATGGAAGAAGAGTTGGTTCTTACAGGTAAGCAAAGAAAGCAGATTCTTGAGATAGAATCTCCTTCTGGCAAAGATGTTGTAATATTGTCAAATGGTAATAAACGATTTAGAATATTATATAAACTTGATAAAGCAGTGGCAGGTTTGAGAGGATTGACTCCAATATTGAAAAAAGTTCTGTTGTGGATAAAATGCTGTCAAACAGCATCAAATGCTACAGAGAAATATTTCATGAAAGAGAGAGTCAATTGCTGCAGCAAATTTCATTGCTGTCTTAATTTAAGAAATTGCCACCGCCACCCAGCCCTCCAGGAACCACCATCCTCATCAGTCAGCAGCCATCAACTTTGAGGAAAGGTCATCCACCAGCAAAAAGATTATGATTCACTGGAGGCTCAGATGACTGTTAGCATTTTTTAGGAATATTTTAAAATTAATGTGTATATGTTATTTTTATAATTTTATCACACACTTAACAGACTATAGCATAGTGTGAATATAACTTTTTTTTTTTGAGGTGGAGTCTTGCTCTGTCGCCCAGGCTGGAGTGCAGTGGCACAATCTCGGCTCACTACAAGCTCCGCTTCCTGGGTTCACGCCATTCTCCTGCCTCAGCCTCCTGAGTAGCTGGGACTACAGGCACTCACCACCACTCCCGGCTAATTTTTTGTATTTTTAGTAGAGACGGGATTTCACCATGTTAGCCAGGATGGTCTCGATTTCCTGACCTCGTGATCCGCCTGCGTCGGACTCCCAAAGTGCTGGGATTACAGGCTTGAGCCACCGCACCTGGCCGAATATAACTTTTATATGCACTGAGAAACCAAAAAATTTGTGTGACTCGCTTTATTGTGATATTTCCTTTATTGCAGTGGTCTGAAACCAATCTCACAATATCTCCAAGATATGCCCATATAGGACACCTGCAATACCTCCAAAAAGTTCCTTCATACAACTTTGTAGTAAATTATCTCACTTTAACGGAAGGCATTTACAGAATTACCTTATGTAACTATAGATTTATTTTGTCTGTCCTATAATTTTATAAAAATGGGATGAATAGAGTAGGTATTCTTTTGTGTCTGGCTTTCAGCATAAAATTTTTGAAACTTATGTTGTTTGTGTATCAGTGATTTATTCCACTTTATCTCTGAGTAGATTTTTTTTTTGAAAACACTATAATTTCCTGTGAATCTAACAATGGCCATATGGGCTATTTTATGTTTTTAAATTATTATGAGTAGAGCTGGTATGAAAATTTGTGTACAAGTATTCTATGAATATATAATTTTAAAATTTATTTTGGTTAACACGTAGGGGTGGAATTTACCCTCAATACTTTGCCATTTTGGGCCAGATGATTCTTTGTTGTGGGAAGCAGTTCTGATGTTTAGCAGCAACCTGGTCCTTTACCCAAGTGGATGCCAGTAGCACCTGCTACCAGTTGTGACAAATGAAAATAACTCTAGATATTGACAAATGTCTCCTGGGAAGCAAAATTAGCCCACAGTTAAGAACTACTGGTTTAACTGATTAGAAAATCTCAAACCCTTTTCAAAAGTTGTGGTATCCTTTTGTTGCAGACAGGTAATCCCTGAAGTTGGGGCTTTGGGAGAGTTCTTGGCTTTGTCCAGGAAAGAATTCAAGGGCAAGGCAGTGGTGTTAGACAGCAATCTGTTATTAAACAGTACTGCTTCTTGTGGAGCAGGGCTAACTCGTAGGCAGTGCACGCAGAGTTGGTAACATACAGGCTCTTAACAACTATATTTATACTCAGGTAAACCCACTTTCAATTGCAAGTAAATTATTGGGTGGGTCAATGCAAATTGAGGGGCAGGTTATTTGGATCTTTCTAGGAAAGGGGTGGTAACTTCTGAGTTGTTGTCACGGTGTTTGTAAACTATCATGGTGCCAGTAGGAGTGTCATGCTAATGAGTAAGGAGGGCAGCTGGGGATCCCTTCAGTCACCATTGGCTGATTCCTGCTGGTTTCTTTGCTTCATCCCACCTGAACCAGATCCTTTTTTAGTCAATAGGGTTGTGAACAGCAGACAAATTCTGCTAGTCTCCTACTTCACTTTTGCATCCTCTCCAAGACCATATGCATTGTTCTGCATCCTCAGTAATAGTTGGTGTTGCCAAACTTTTAAGTTCTAATCATTCTAGGACTTACAGAGTAATACGGCATCGGGGCTTTATTTTCCAAATTTGCATTTCTTGGATTTCTTATAATGTCAAACATATTTGAAAGCTATTCCTTTTTTGAATTATTTTCAAATCTTTTACCCACTTTTATTAAATTTTTTCTTAAAATTTTAAGTATAGATTCACATACAGTTAAAAGAAACAATACAGAGAAATCGTGTGTAAACTACATTTTCACCTGTGATGAAATTTTTAAAAACTGTAGTGTAATATCATAACCAGGACACTGGAATTGATACAATCTATCAATCTTATTCCAGTTTCAGCAGCTTTGTTGTGTTTGTGTGTATGTATCTATGTGTTTGCATGTGTGTGTGTATTTAGTTCTAAATAATTTTACCACATACATACATAGGTTTCTGAGGTTTCTGTATTCTGTATTGTTTTTAAACAATATTCAACCCACTGCAAGTCCAATTTATCAATGTTTTCATTTTATTGTTTTTTATAACTTCTATTTATTTTCTGAGATTTTCTACTTTTAATTTGTTTCAAATAAATTTTAATTCCTTAAATTAACTTAATTGTTAAAGTCATTAATTTGCAACACTGATTCATCTACGTGTTGTAGTCAGTTGATTGTCTTCTCACTCAGGCTGTTATCTTCTTATTTCTTGCTTTGTGTGGTAATTCTGAATTGTATCCTAGTTGTTTTGACTTATGTTAGGAGAAGATGGGTCATATTTAAATCTTTTATTTTAGCAGACATTCACTCTATTTAGCTCTGGCATGCAGGTTTGGCCTATTCTATGGTTTCAAAAGTAGTTATGTTTTCAGAGCCTTTGAGGTATGATTTGATGTGTTTGGTTTATCTGGTGCTGCTGCAGACACCTAGCTACCCTGCTGTTGCTGCCTGAGGTAAAGGAAGGGGTTTCCTAGGCTGGGCCCTGGGTGTCTAACTGTGGGGAGGCAGGTGTCAGGCCTGAGGGCATGAAGAGACTTCCCTGGCTGGACACTTGTTTGTTGGTATCCCTTGCCCATTGTTTTTCCCTTTTCATTGGCACTTCAAAAGGAATTTGTCTCTTGATGCTCTGTATTCCTATTATTTTACCCAATTCTTGTTGGAAGTAGAGGGCCGGGTGCGGTGGCTCATGCCTGTAATGCCAGCACTTTGGGAGGCCAAGGCGGGTGGATCACCTGAGGGCATGAGTTCGAGACCAGCCTGGCCAACGTGGTGAAACCCCATCTCTACTAAAAATACAAAAATTAGCTGGGCATGGTGGCAGGTGCCTATAATCCCAGCTACTCGGGAGATTTAGAAATAATCTCTTGTGTTCTGATTTAGTCTAAGTCTTATGCAGGCACTATGTCTGAGAATCTGATGAGGTTTTCTTTTTTTAACAATTACTCAGGCCCCTTCTCCACCTGTAATGGTGGGTTTAGCACTTATTCATGCCTTTTGCCCTGGGACAGAGCTTTTTTATTGCCCTTATTTCCTTAACCCAGCTTCAGTGGGCTACCAGGCTTTTTAGGTGAAAATCTGTTGTCTTTTCATCTGAAAACCAATACCTTTATTCTATAGAGGAGGAAGATGAGATGATTCTAGGCAAAGTTTCAGCAGTTTCAGCTATGCTCTTCCTCTAGCTAGTATCAAAAGGCATGATTCCTTAGGAGTCTTTCTAATCGTCCCTGTGAGTGTCTGGTGGGGTTTATGGAGAAGAGTCCATAAGAGGTGTGAACCTTCCCTAAATCTGCAATTTCTAAGGGATTTCCATTTGCACACTAGCTCAAACTTGGCCTTCGATAACAAGTAAACATTTCAGCTGAATTCTTTTTACTGGCTTATTTCATGTCCAGTGGTAGCTGCCCTTGTTACGCATGTGCTCCTGACACTTCCCCTGCAGACTCTTGGCTTTCCCACACTGGGGATGGGTTGGATGTTGTGAGAATTCAGTTCTTTGATGTATTCAAGAAAGTCATTAATTTGTAGTCTGTCTAGCTCTTTCATTGTTATAAGGGTGGGAACAATGGTGTTTCAAGCTTTATATTTCTCTGAGCTGAGAATGGAAAAGAGAAAGCTTTGTGATTTTTTATATAGGTATTTATTGAATAGTATAATGAAATTTGGTGAAACAACCAATGAACCCACAAATTAGTTCATTACAAATAAATGTGCTTCTAACAATGTGCCACTCTCTACATTTCCCTGTTTCCATTCAGATGAAAATGCTATCTTAAATTTATTTTATTTTATTTTTACCATTTCATTACCTTTGCATTTTTAGTCTTAATACATGCACACACATGGAGAAACAGGGCCGGGCACGGTGGCTTACGCCTGTAATCCCAGCATTTTGGGAGGCTGAGGCGGGTGGATAACCTGAGGTCAGGAGTTCGAGACCAGCCTGGCCAACATGGTGAAACCCCATCTCTACTAAAAATACAAAAATTAGCTGGGCATGGTGGCAGGTGCCTGTAATCGCAGCTACTCGGGAGGCTGAGACAGGAGAATCCTTGAACCTGGGAGGCGGAGGTTGCAGTGAGCCAAGATCATGCCAGGCTCTCCAGCCTGGGAACAAGAGCAAGACTTCATCTAAAAAAAAAAAAAAAAAAAAAAAAAAAAAAAGAAGAAGATATGGCTTATTTTGCCTTGAGTCTCAAATATTCAATATCTTTGGCTAGCAAAAATTCAGCATATCAGAAATAATTGATTTTTCTTATTCTATGTAATCCAATAAGGAAATATTAGTGATTAATCCAACAACTTTTAAATTAATAATTTACAGATTTAAATTAACAATTTGTTAATTTGTTAAATTAATTTAACAAATTAAAATTTGATGTGATACACTTGGAAAATTAATCTGTAAGAGTATAATTTTGACATTTACTTAAAAAAGAAACCCTAACCAAACAGAGTTGGGTGCTATTATTATTATTATTATTATTATTATTATTATTATTATTTTGAGACAGAGTTTTGCTCTTTTGCCCAGGCTGGGGTGAAGTGGCATAATCTCAGCTCACTGCAACCTCTGCCTCCTGGGTTCAAGCGATTCTCCTGCCTCAGCCTCCCAAGCAGCTGGGATTATAGGTGCCTGCCACCACGCCCCGCTAATTTTTGTATTTTTAGTAGAGACTGGGTTTCGCCATGTTGGCCAGGCTGGTCTTGAACTCCTGACTTCATGTGATCCACCCGCCTCGGCTTCCCAAAGTGCTAGGATTACAGGTGTGAGCCACCACACCCAGCCTGAGTTGGGTGCTATTTAATTGTGATTCTTACAATAATGTTTTCATGCTTTAGTAATGCAGAAACTGCCTTTGAAAACATATTTCTTCTAGCATTTATATAGAGCCTGATTTATAGAATTATTTTGGAATAATTAGGCCCTTTGAACATTTGAACATAACATTATGCTCCATTTTGCATTTATACATACATACACACATGTACACACACAGATATATGCATACACAGATGAAAAGAGGTAGTCTATCAAAAGGGTTTAAATTGCAATTAGACACTTATTATTAAATCCTCATTGTCATCAGAACAATCCACCACTCTCTTCTCTCTGTCAATGAGGTCTTAAAACACAAAGTCTGTTATAGACAGTGCTCTCACATTACATAAGGATTAAGTAGCATTTGGTCTAGTTAAAATATATTCCCTTTTCTCAGATTTGGAAAATAATCCCCGTATTTGGAAACTGTCACTTCATAAAGCAGGGGGCTGCAAGTATTTGGAAATAATTTTACTTATTTCCGACAGAAGCTTCTATTTTTGAAATTGCAATATATTATCCACCACATATTGAAACTCATACATCACTTATCAATGCAAAGAAAATTAGTAGAATGACCCCAAATATACAAATGACTTGCATTGTCAATTTTATACATGATATATAGTCTGGGAAAAGTCACTTAATGGAACTTGCTGTGATTTTATTCTGAATCATATACAATGTTACCTTAAGCACTCACTTTCTCTAATGTTGAGCTAAATCAAACAAAACTCAAATCGATAAATTTGGCAAGGCATAAGGCACTTACTCTTTAGCAAACACTTGGCAATACAAACTTAACCTAAATCTGTGATCTGCAATAAGGGGGTGGTTGACATTCTGAGCATGTGCTAATGTATAACAAAATTAGACTGAAAATATATTAACATTGAAGAATTGTCAAACCTCAGAAATAAATTCACTCCAACTTGCTGCAGTTTGCAGCTCCAGGAGGAAGCTGGAACTCCTTCTGTGCTATTATGCCTAACAAAATAATGAAGTCTTCTTTAGTAAAACTTGAGCTCTGTGGAAATCAGAAATCAAGCCATGGCTGACAGGGTAATTGCATTTCTCTTCTGGTCATTGTGGAGATAGTAAGATATTGATGAAACATGGAGGTGGCAAAACAGACATCATCCAATGATTTCGCATGTATCCGGAAAAGGATACTTGGGTTAGAACTGGTGAATATTTATGGATCTTAGTATATCAGCATCAATCTGGAGATACTTTGTGCAAAGATTTATCTAAATATTGCAAAAATAAACGTAAAATTATTTTGTGGACAGAAACCTCCTGAGGAGACACTGCAAGGTGGTTGGGAGGTGGGCAAACCATTAACACCAAAACTAACCTCCACTTTCAAATGGTTGACAAGATCATGGAATGGTGATATCTGCTTAATTAGATAAATAACTTCGCTAAGAACAATTCCCAACTATTATTTAAAAATACTCTTGTCAGGCAGGGTGGCTCATGGCTGTAATCCCAGCAGTTTGGGAGGCTGAAGCGGGTGATCACCTGAGGTCAGGAGTTTGAGACCAGCCTGGCCAACATGGTGAAACCTCGTCTGTATTAAAAATACAAAAAAAAATTAGCCAGGCGTGGTGATGGGCGCCTGTAATCTCAGCTACTCAGGAGGCTGAGGAAGGAGAATTGCTTTAACCTGGGAGGCAGAGGTTGCAGTGAGCCGAGATCACGCCATTGCACTCCAGCCTAGGCTACAAGAGCAAAACTCTGTCTCAGCAACAACAACAAAAAAGATAAAAATATTCTAAAACATGTATGTCCATTTGAATATGTTAATAAATAGTAGCTAGTTACCGACATAGCATTTTTGCCCCCAGGATAGCCCTCACTTATTGCCTTCTAATCCAGTTGACTATGAGTTTTTTATTTGCTCCCCAAACTGACATGTTTTCCACATTGTCATGGCCCTTAGCAAAAATCTCAATAATTTCTCACAAAAACTGACGCTAATATTCCCTCATTACACTATTCACACTGAAGGCATAGAAAAAGATCTCCTAAATTTTTTTAAAAAAGTATTTGTATAAAATTGGTGGTTTAAAATTAAAAAATAAAATACATTAAAATTGCCATTATCTTCAGAGAAAAGCCCCACATGATTTGCATATACTGTAAGACATTTTCAGTTTTGGCATTTGTCTTACATTCTACCTTTCTCACTCCTTACTTCCTAAATTGTAACTTTTGTTTTAGCCTAAATGAACTTCTCTCATTACACAAGACACTCTACCATATTGCTTCTCATGGTTTGTTTTTTCTTTTTTTGCTTCCTTTGCCTTGTAAGATCCGTATTTCCTTCTAACTTAAACACTTCCTTCTTGCATTTCTTTACTAAATTCTCTGATAAAACATCATTCAGATCACTTATTTGGATCATGTGCCCTCAGGGCATCATGCATTTAATAGCATCTACTACTTATTATCCTCTTATTAGTTGTCTGTTTTTTCTCCTAGACTATGAGCTCCTTGGAGGAAGCAGTTCTCATTCTTGCTGCTTAGTTAACACAGTACTGGGCACAAAGCAGTCAATACATGTTTGCTGAAAATATGAATGTTTTGGTAAACGTCTGAACTTCAGTTCTCACATTCTTCAGGAGAGAATACCTGAAATAAAGTTTTCCATGTTCCATCTTTAGCTCCTTACTTACTAGCTATGTACCCTTAAATAAGATATATAACATCTGTAAGTCTCAATTTCTTCATGTGTAAGATGGGAGTAATAGGGATCCCAACTCATTAAACTATTGTGAGGATTTAATAAAATTACAGTTAATAAAGGTTCTAATTACTTTTCAGGAAGGAGACATGATTAGAGAAAGTAGCCAATTTTCCAATGCAATCTGAATGTCCATTTATATTTAATTATTTAAAAGGAAAACGTGACATAGAAATCATATATGTCTGGTTCCTTCTATGAAGAGAATTGAGAAAGTTTATTTTTCAGCCACTCAAACATGGAAGCTCCATGACAGATTCAAGAATGGAGTGCATATTCTTCTATTTTTGAAAGCCATGATTAAACAAACTTACTTTCTAAAAATTAATTGTAAGTATCATATCCCTTTAAAGAATTCTCCCTCACATTTCAGTACAACATGCACACACACACACACACACACACACACACCCCACGCTATCCACTACTTTGCACAGTGCTGTAGGAAAGTTGATTCTCAACAATATTAACACATCAGCAAATGTTCTCTCTTTACTGTATTTTCAAATGGCTTGGTTAACTAATCCGGTGAACAAAACAGTGTTGACCTATTACTAAGTAACTATGGTAAAACCTTCCCCATCACTTTAAATGAATTTGATTCATCCACAGAAAAGAACTGCTTGAAGAGTACTAAAAACCAGTAACAAAAATTAATTGACTAAATTTATATTTTATTTTCCTTATGTCAAGGATCGTCTTCCCCAAAATCCTTTTCTTGCACTCATTCTCCTACTTAGGCTGACAAGACACTTTCCTCCTACCCTCTTCAGTATGTAGTGGTAATAAACTGAAGAGAGAGAATATATGACAGAATATTGCAGTCTCTGTGACACTATAATCAGTTCCATTGTTTGACTTACTTGTTTCATTATTGATAATATTCATGTATTCATCAGGTACTACACAATAACTTACTGAGAACCTACTACATGGCATACAACTTTTTTGTTATTAGAGATGTAAGAATGTTCAAAATAGACATGGCTTCTGTCCCCAAATAATTTCAATGGTACGGGAGAGGAAGAAAATAAAATATTTGTGGTATATAGCAATAAGAGCTATAAATGGTAATTATGACATGGTATGGGGTCCTATAACACAAGGACCTAATATAATATAAGAAAATTAGAGAACACTTTCTTGATGAAGTAAAATTTCTGCAAAAATCTAAAGGATATGTAGGAGTTCATTGAATGAGAGGAGATGAGAAAGATCTTAACTAGAAGAGGCAACAACATGTGAAGGAGTCATGAGGAATGAGGGGCCCAGTGCATTCAAGAGGCTTAATGTAGTCCTAATTAGTCCTGTTGGGAGGGCAACATGGAGGGTGAAATTAGAAGTCCCAGTATAATTGGCTAGTCATGCCTACATAAAACATGTTAATAATGTGGGTCTTAGGCCTAAGAACAGAGTGAAGCCGTGGAAAGTGTTTAAATAATAAGATATGCATTTTTAAGTATCTCTGTCGTAGAGAGAAAATACTGAGAAGAGGAATTGCTCTTTAGAAATGAGACTATCAAAGAGATCATTAAAGAATTCCTGGAGTATGTCTGTAGTTAACACTGCTTTGTCAGTGGTAGAAACGGAAACCAACTGGAGGGATATTTAGAAGGTAAAATGCGGAAGGTTTGCGTGATTTCTTTTTTTTTTTTTTTTGGTGATTGAAGGTTGATAGAGATAGGCTAGATGAGACACAGGCAACTGTCACCTACCTCAGTGCCACTCTAGAGTATATTAAACATCACCTTTAGATAAACTCAGTAAGTGCTGTTGAAAACTTCCTAGGAGTGTCAGCTAACCCAGTCCTTTACACTATCTTGATTTACACATGTAAATATTAACCTGACATCCTTTATGGTTTAACTCTTAACAGCTTCAAAAACCTAATATGGGTTATTTCCTTCTGCTCCTAAGTATCAAGGCTGCATCTAATGCACAGTTCTGCTCTATACTTTAGCTTCATCCACTAGAGCTGAATTTCAGTGAAAGCCACTGTTTTAGGTTCTGTGACAGCTGAGAAAATAAAAACACGGCGAGTTCTAAAGCACAGCCAGTTGTCTAGTATTGCCTATATGATGAGGTCAAAAGATTATGCAGAGGAGTTCCTATCAAAATGCATGACTTATTTTAAATGGAGCAATTATTGAGCATAAATTATGCCAGACATCACACTGGTACCTGACCTACATGATCTACTTCAGTATTTCTCCAAATGAGCTCCATGGGCCATTATCACTCACATATTCAGACAAAATGGATATAATGGTTAAATAGTTTTGGAAATCCATGCTAAAAGATCAAATAGTACCTGTAAAAGAAGTTGCTTAAAATAAAGTTAACATTATTTAGGCTACATCTGTCAAACTTTCTTAATAACAGTGCATTACAGGCCACTTAACTAGTATTTCATGGATTATAGAGGGGAAATGCCAATCTGAATATGTCTTCACAATCCTTAGCTTCTCTGTTTCACCTTTGTTCATAACTTTTATGACAATGTACAAGTATCTCAGCAATGCATATATTTTTCTACTCTACATATTTCTTTGAACCAATCCAGACCTCCAGGATGCTGATGTGCCACCCTGTCCCAGCCCAGCTGCCCAATTCTGTCACTACCTCCTTTCCATCCCAGCAAAAGTTCATGGTCACCACATCAACAACCTTTTTGTCCAGATTCTCAACCCACTATCTGCTTGATCTTTTGTTGCTATAATGCAGATCTAAAGTACAGGGTACAATAACACTGCCTTTTCTAGCTCAGGGCACTGTCTTGAAGATAACACACAAATAGGACACAAAATCTTACAGAATGGATGCCAGTGACAAATGGGGTCTCAAAAGTGATTAGTGCATCATCTGCTTGTTCCTAGTCCATGCTCATTCTCATTACTGACGGTAGATATTTGAAAACTTCACCACTTCCACAGCCTCATTCCAAATATTTTTGTTCCCAGTAGTTTGCTTATAAGTCTTTTCAGTCTCCTCCCTCTTCCTCTATGATTTAGTTCTCCCCGAAGATTTCATTACTGTATGTCTGCCCCAGGTCATTCTCCTTTGCATGTGGTTCACCACCGACTGCAAATTTCTACCTGAATATTCCACAGACATTTTAACTGAATGGATCTCCTTCTCCATCCCTTAAATTGTGTATGTTCTCAATTATCCCCAGTCTTGAAGAAAGCAACACTGACATCTCCTTTTTTATTCTCTCATTCACATTTGAGTGGCCTCAAAATCCTGTCAATTCCCTAGCTTTGCTCATTCTCAAATTTCCCTGTCTGCATTTTCTGTGGCACTAATTTAGCAACATCTTTTTACTAAATTAATGCAATGATTTCCATGAGCCTCCTTGCCATGCATCTTTGCTGAGGACGATCCAATGTTCCCTGTAATACAGCCAGAACAAACTTTCAAAAATGTAAACTTAGGTATACCACACCTCTTTTAAAATATTTTAATGTCATACCATTCAGAATCAAATGCAAATTCCTCAGCTGACATGGAAACCCTCCTTTTGTTTTCCCTTTTCAATTCAATTCTGGCTTCCGTCTCTCTTATAATATCCTTCCTTACAGAATCTTCTCACTTCTCATCTAGCTAATATATTAATATATGTTGCCCCTAAATGAAAATATCACTCATCGCAATCTTTCTAGACCCTTAACATTTCATTCAGTTGTTTCTTTCTGGGGCTCCATCATATTACAAATCACATTGTAATTGTAATTTTGCTTAAAAGTTACCAGCATTAAATTTAAATTTCTTAAGAAGAGGAACTATATCTTAATATTTTATTACAATTTCTAAGTACTGAAAGTTGCAAATAGTAGATGATCAATTAATATTTGAAAAACAATATACAGTTTTTACAAAATGTACATACAGAGATTAATTTTATTTGCTGCATTATATAAACCCTAGGGGGAAAATATAATAGATGTTTCTATCCCACCCTTCCCCAAGCAAAAGATGAAGGACCTGCAGCTTACACTTGAATTGTATGACTCAAAATTTGGTGTAATTTCCATTAAATGGTATTATAGCAATCAATCAAATACTTGATTTCCATAATAAATAATTTCCATTTCCAATGTCATGGCTTTGACAGGTAAGTTACTCCAGACAAACATCCATTATTCAAATATTCATTCAAATGTATTATGTATATGCAAAGGAACTGGAAAATAGTCACCAAAGAAATACAAATCTGCTTAAAATCTTATATTAGAGGCACAGTGGTACCTCAGTTAGTTACAGCAAAAGATTTTCAATTGAAAATTGTGTTCTGCTGCTTGAATAATTTAAACTTATTTTAAACTGATTTATGATGCGCATCTCCAATACTAATCTTCACTTTACTTACTTTTCCACTTTTTTGTCTTATTTTGTTTTGATCAGAACATTTTCTACCAAAGCTCAGGCATTATGCTGATTTTGAACTTCCTCACATAAGTAGCAGGCACTTTAGTAAAAGGTCACTACCCACCCTAGTGATTTAATGAATTCAAAGTAAAGGAAATAATTCATCAAAGTTCCCAAAGGCATCTCTTCCTATTTCCTTTGCTTTTCTCATATTCACTACAGACCTTTGATTTTCTTTCCTTAAGTGTACTAGAGAAATGCAAACGCCAGTCAATATTCATTGAAGCTCCTGCTGCGTGTGTTGTATCTACTGAGACTTTTGAACAGCTAGCTCACATACGGGATTAAACTATATGGACATTTTATTCATCTCTAAAACAAGTTGCTTTTCATAGATTAAGGCTCTTTTTCAACATGATACTAGCTTAACATGGATCTGTCTAGACTTTTGACTCATATTTTAGGCATATGTTTTTCTCTTCTTTTTTTCTGTTTTTTTTTCCTTAGTTTTAGCCCATTTATAGTGTTTGCTGTACCAGATTTCATGAGATTTTTTGCATTATACCCCCACTCTGTTAAGTGTCCAGCGTTCTTGAGGGGCATCTTTTCTCTTACCAGCAGTTCCTTTCAAGTTAATGGCAATTTCAAGTCCCTCATCTGTTTCAGGTTACTCTTTAGATATTTAATTCCTGGAGATTCTGCTCCCTGTGTTACATTTGATGGACATTAGGTTCACAATTGTTATTTCTCAACCACTCTGTGTTCTAAGAAAGAATGTATCCATAGAATAATCATAGGAGAAAGAAGATCAAGGTGTTGCCTGTTTTTTAGGTTCAGCCCAGTAACTGACAAAATACAGGGATCTTGAGCAAGGTACATTGCAAAACAAAGATTTTACTTTAAGTCCAAGATGGGCTTCCTTATACTTCTGCAAAGTCAAGATATTTTTACTCATCTGAAAGAAATATGAACTTTTAGAGCATTATTGCTGCACATTTAGCCAGCTTCTCAAATACGAAGTGCTTGATGTAAAAGAAGCATTTTTGGCATCAGGGAAATTGCAGTGCCTTCTTTGCTCCATTCAACATATCCAATGAAAGCCACTTTTTTAACAATCAAAAGTAGATATTGACCAAGCCAGTCTAATGTTCCCCCACAGCTTGACTAAATTTCAGATGGGTTCCTTCCTGACTATAGGCACCTACGTATTTATTTTAGAAAACTGGCAATTATAAATTATTTCTCTGCAGCTTTGATATGAAAGTCTTCTTTCAGCCTTCTGCCAGTTTTACATTCCAGGCTCATCATTCTCATGGATCTGGGAGCTATTCCTTTGAAATGTAGTTATTCAGAATATTGCTGCAATAAATATACATGTGCGTATGTCTTTATAGCAGCATGATTTATAATCCGTTGGGTATATACCCAGTAATGGGATTGCTGGGTCAAATGGCATTTCTAGTTCTAGATCCCTGAGGAATCGCCACACTGTCTTCCACAATGGTTGAACTAGTTTACAGTCCCACCAACAGTGGAACCAACCCAAATGTCCAACAATGATAGACTGGATTAAGAAAATGTGGCACATATACACCATGGAATACTATGCAGCCATAAAAAATGATGAGTTCATGTCCTTTGTAGGGACATGGATGAAGCTGGAAACCATCATTCTCGGCAAACTTTCACAAGGACTAAAAACCAAACACCGCATGTTCTCACTCATAGGTGGGAATTGAACAATGAGAACACTTGGACACAGGAAGGGGAACATCACACACTGGGGCCTGTCGTGTGGTGGGGGGAGGGGGGAGGAATAGCATTAGGAGATATACCTAATGTAAATGATGAGTTAATGGGTGCAGCTCACCAACATGGCACATGTATACATATGTAACAAACCTGCACTTTGTGCACATGTACCCTAGAACTCAAAGTATAACATATATAATATATAATATATAATACATAGAATATATAGAATATATTATATATAATATATATTACATATAGAATATATATTATATATAAATAATATATATATATAATATATAAAAGAAATGTAGTTATTCAGAAGGCTAGAGCCCTTATCTCACATTTTCTGTTGGCAGGTAGATAGAACCTAATTTTGACAAATTCTAGTTAGCAAATATAGAAGGCATAAACACATCAACCAACTTCCCTCCTTACCTTCCTAAAGTACTCTTCTACTAGGGTCACTACGGTGCCTAAAACGTTTTCTGCCTTTTGGTTCTTTGAAGTTAAGTTAAATTTCTTTCTTCTGTTGCAATAATATTGACCCCTATTGCACTACTTTGGTGCAATTCCTCTTTGACAGTACTAATCCTTCTTTGAGAAAGAGCAAATAAAGGAATGATGAGAGAACTGAAAGGGTCCATCGATCCCCTTCTCCCATCCCAATGGGAGGAAGGGAGAGTACATTAATGTTCTGTAAAAACATAAAGAGCATAATGAACTTTCCTATGCTCCACCCCCAACAATGCTATTTAAAGTTTATTTTTTCTGGAGTAGAATATAGTATGAATGTCCTGGAACATATGAAGGAGATCATAGTGAGAAAATTAAAAACCATAACTTTTGTAGAATGTTTTAAATTTTATGTGGCTTATGGAAGAGATTCACAAGGTTCATGCTTACAAACATCAAATATTTGAAAGATTTGGAAAGGGGAATATCGTATTCAGGAAAGGGGAAAAGTATTCAGATCTGTTCTGTGTTTTCCTCCAAAACAATACCAAGACTAACATATACAAGTTAAAATTGAAAATGTTTCAGTTTAATAGAAAAAAATCATTCCAAAACTCTGAAATGTCTAAAGATGGGATATGCTAGGCTGACTTGGAAGGTAGTGTGTTCACTAACAAGGGATATGAAGATAATGGTTCAAGGCAGTCTTGGTTGAAATGTTGAACAATTTCAGACATCACAGGAGGATGTGGGAAGCCAGAGATACAGTTTTCCTTATAGCCTTGAATTTTTTTCCATTGCTCTGACTTTTTATTTAAATATACAGATTAAATTGTTTTGACTTTGACAAGAAGAAAACAATATAAAGGATCTTTTTTAACAATTAAAAATGTTAAGTAGTTTAATTTAAACATACACACACACATACATATGAAAGCAGTGTCTCTCACTGAAGAAGTTTTTTCTGAAAATACTTACTAGAAAACAGAAAAAAATGCAAAATTGCTATTATCAGAAAACCAGAGAGCTATATTATTGTGTTTTCTTTAACATGTTTAAATTTGCGTTACTGTTTTGTTAATGTCTAACTTTATCTGGCTTTCAAGGCAGTAAAGACTATCACCCCTGAAACCACAATGCATCCAAACACTGTCCATTAGCAACATAGAGGCCCTGCAAAGGTGAAAGAAAGAGTTTTAGTTGATGCATCAATTATGGTCACGAATAGCCCTTTAAACTGAAAGTGCTGCATCTCAAAATTCTCTTCTTCACTTTGCCTTCTTAATTGCATCTTTCACCTCCAAACTAGATTAAGCTATATATCACAGGAAACATAAAGTAGATCAATTACCTTAAGAAATTCTGAAATGGTAGGATCTTTGATTTTCAAAATAGATTAGAAGTAGGATGGCTTCAGATGGGCCCTGTTGAATGACTCCTCTGGGAAGATCAGTCTGTGGCTATTAATGTGATTTGTCCACCATGTTGGGCCATAAGAAGATTGTCAATTGCCATGAGGAGTATGCTTTGCTGAAACTTTCTCTGAAATGTATAACAGCTTCAGCAGCTTAGTAGAAAATTCCCAGACATTTTCTGGTCACCAAACAGAGGAGGTCAGATATTTCTGTATATAAAGTGAGGGCCCAGACTATAATCCAAATCAAACCAAATTCTAAAATTCCTAAGGTTTTTATGAGGTTCACATGTATAGACTTTCTCTGTACCTAGATAGTCAATCATTCATCCCCTGACTTTTGATACCTGAGAATAAATGGATAAAACAGGGGCATTGACACTTCAAACATCGGATGAGTTGGAAAAACTGAACACATATGTATTACTAATGGGATATTATCAATAGCATCTTCATCAAATAATACAGTTTCTATTATTTGGTTATTCTCTATATGATGCCATGATAATGTGTAATTATAGAACAAAGGAAATAAAAATGTTAACATGTCCAACTTTATCTGGCTTTCAATGAAGACAAGACTATATCACTCTGAACCCACAGTGCATAATTTTAGTGTAATATATGCATAACCTAAAATTTGCTCTTACATAAATAGGTTGATTTTACATTTAAATTGTTATTGAATTGGGCTAATAAAAAAGTTAACATTTTCTCACACAATATGGCTATGCTCCAAATATTTTTAAATCTACTTTGGCTCTGATCTAACTATTGGTGTGCTCTCCTTCTACAATTTATATACTGGAACCTAATACTCAATGTGATAGTATTAAAAGGTGGGGCCTTTGGGAAGTGATTAATTCATGAGGGCTTCACTCTCATGACTAGGATTAGCACCTTTATAGAAGAGGATATAGGGAGTTCCCTTGCCCTTTCCACCATGTTAGGACACTGCAAGAAGGTGAAGTGTGTGGAAGTGGCCTCACCAGACAGGAATCTGATAGCCCTTTGATTTTGGACTTCCCACCCTCCAGAACTGTGAGCAATAAATCTTTATTGTTTAAAATTACCCAGTCTAAGATATTTTGCTATAGCAACCAAAACAGACTAACAACCTCCCACCAAAATAAAACAAAATCTACTTTATGTTTCCTTTTATGCATAGACATCATTCATCAATATTTAATATAGAAAGGAATTTTAAAATCTATAAAGTGCTTCAAAATAAATAATGCAATAATATGTAGCAATTAACAATAATGAGGTAGTCTTGCTAGCCACTATAGAATTTCAAGGCATGTGTCTCTTTCCATGTTCTAAGTAGTTTATTTTTCCTTAAGGAAACTCAGATCATTGAGTATATCAGCCTTATAATTCTTACTTCCTACTCTGCTGTGTCCAGCTGTCTTCAGAACTGGAACTTCTCAATCAAATTAAAGCGGCAATCTGATTTCACTTGGGGTCATAGACTTTGCTTTTCACATCTACAGAGAAAATCTCCTCTATTTACTTTGGGTTAAAGTCAATATAAAATTGGAATTTCAGTATTTCTAGTTCTTTAAAATCTAACAATTTTTTGTATAGTTTTTGTTCAGAGACAGAAACAAAGGAAAACAACTGTAAGATGCTCTCTATAGCTAATGTAAAGGGCCATGTTTTTTCTTAAGGCATATAATTTTCTGCTATTTAGTAATTAGATATTTGAAGTTAGATATAATAGTTTTCATTGTGTGATCTCAGCAACATTAAATAACTCAGAATGGATGTTTAAAATGTATACGCTTATATATTTGAATTGGCATTTCCAAAGATGCTCAGTATTTACTTTAAATTCAGTGTCTAGTACTGAATTTAAAGAAACATTATCAAAACATTCTTATCAAAAAATCCATGAGGAGTTTCTTCTTATCAGAAATATATTGTCTCTAATAAATCAGATTAGGTTTAAGTTTGTATAAAATTGACATTGATATTTAAAAAAAAATTCTCACATGTGTGTACTTTCATCTCAAAAGAAATGTGAGTTTCCTGAGAAAAAAATTCCCCATATTTATAATAATTTCCTTGAGTTAATTATAATATAATTTCAGATATGGGGAGTCATGCATACAACTCACTGACAGATTGGCTACTGAAATGTAACTTAAAATCACTTTAATTAGTGGTGTGGAAACTGAGGATAAATTATGAATGTTGAAATTTCCTAAAATTGTATGGAAAAAGGAAAGGTATACCAAATCAAGGTCAACTTGTGAGAGATATTTTTATTTCTTTTTGTATACTTTTGAAGATTTAGAGTTAACATATACCTGTGTTGTCCCATGTTAGTAGCCATATGTGGTTACTTAAATTTAAACTTAAGTCAATAAAAACTTATTGAAATTAGAATTTAATTTTCTGAATTGCTTTAGTAACATTGTAAGTGCTCAGTAACCTCATGTAGCTAGGGCTACCATATTGGACAGTATTTGTATTGGACAATAGCGATATAGACACTTTTGAAGATTCTTCAAGCCAGGGATCCCTTCTCCAATGTCCTCATATATAATATACTTAATATATGTAACTTTGTATATGTTGATTAAACCCATATATATGGAAGGCCTATTTTGGTGAAAAAATAGGTTTTCTATTTCTCTTCTTACTTCTTTGTGATAAAAAATAAGTATCACTCTCCTTCAAATGTCTTGGTGTTCCTTTCCCTGCCATCTACCAAATCTAAGTTTAAAAAAACGATCTGCCTTTAGCCCCTTACAACACAGGCTGAATCTCTTTATTACTTGCCATATTCTGATAGGAGAGAATTCAGGTGGAAAAGAGAAATTTTTCAATAGCATTAATTAAAGCAGATATTTACTTATTTACATTATATGTGTTACAAGTGCTGATGCCTTAGTTTTGACAGACTATAATGGAAATATTTTCTGCCCAATTAGTTCTGCTGTGCACATTCACTTCATATATGGTACGCAATGCTAATAGCAACCTAAACTAGCTGTTTATATATTTATGTTGTTTATTCATTCAGTAGATATTATTTATTTACTGTGACAGGCATTTTGTTACTCCATGAGTGCAAAGAGGCTGAAAGTAATTGTTCCTGCACTGCAGGAGTTTACAGAGTTTACAATCTAGAGGAAGAAAATATAATCATAAATTCAATTAAAGCAGTAATAATACATCATTTCCTGTTTAGTTACAGGCAGTAAATGGATACATTTTAATAAATAATTACAGCTATTACTTATTGATTGCTATGTTCCAGGTGCTGTGAGAAAAATTTCATATTCAATAACTCATTTAATGTTCACAATAATTGTTTGTATTTTAAAATATTTTATCTTCACTTTACAAATAAAAAAGGTAACATGGTGTTTAAGTTACTGTTTCAAAATTGAATGTTTAGCATGTGGTGGATCCTGATGCAAATCAAATGTTATCTGATAAAGCAAGATTATGCTGTGTTTAGAACCACAGTGCC